>NC_000014.9:33248076-33551106 GCF_000001405.40 Homo sapiens | reverse complement strand
ATTCATAGGCCATGAAACCCTTCTATGTTAATTTCAGGAAATCATTGTAAATAGGTTCTTTGCTCTTTATTTTATGTATCATTCATATAATTAACAATTAATTTTTAGTAGAACCACATACAGCTATAAATATGATGGGCTGATAATAGAAACTAGTATTTAGTTCCTGGAGTCAACAATGCTTAGAATTGTTTTTAAAATTTTTTGTGAGTAACTGCACCTCTTCTGGGTCCTTCACTTTACAATACTGAAATCTTTATATTGGTTTTCTGTGAATTCCAGACGCTTAGAGGCTATGTTGCTTCACTGCCTTAGCTCCAGAATTTAGCTTCATATGAAGCAGAGATACATATTTATAGGGAAGTTAATTATTCTGATGGACCTGAGACCTGGTCCTGAATGATCTGTGGATAAACAACATGGTTTACCATTTGCTATGGCTCTCGGCTGCTTTGCTAACCTTCTTTCATTTCACAGTTGGCTGCTGAGTCTAGGTGAGAAGGACCAGCGTACGCTGCCTGTCCACAGAGCTCTTATCCTATTCAAGGCTCCAAAGAAATGGAAATGCTTCTGCTTTTATCCCCATGTGCCAGACTATGTAACACATGAGAAGTAAAAAAGATTATAGATTTTTATGGTTTGCTAACATACTTGCTTATATCCAGAACATAACAACTAATATCGTAAGAAATCTTCATCAGTGACGCTCTTGATGGCATCCTTCAAAGTAGAACAATTCAGCTTGTGAAATTTGCTAGGACCAAATTTGCTAAGTGTACATTAAATGACAGTCTTAATTTATACAATTAAAAGCAGTAATGCTTATTAGGGAGGCTGAGGCAGGAGAATCGTGTGAGCCCAGGAGTTCGAGGCCAGCCTGAACAACATAGTAAGACCTCGTCTCAAACAAAACAAAACAAACCCCAAATAACAAAAGAAAACAACAGTGGTGCTTGGCTGTATTGATCCTGGCTTCTCTGTGGTCTAATTGAGGAACAGAATGAAAGGACTGAGCTGAGATATGGGGTTTTTGGTGTTGGTAATCTTGTGGAATGATTTAGTAAAGAAGAAAATCAAATTCTGGTATTTTCCACTGGCTTCCTAAAGTGAATCTTTTGTTGTTTGTTTTTTAAAAAGTGAAAAGAGAAACTGGAATTTTCTTCCTCTTTCTGATTGTACTTCGATGACTATTCTGGCTGGAAATGAATTCAGTGCTATCACTGAAGAGGGATTGGCCATTCATTACTTGAATTTGCAAGATCAAAAGGTGATTACACCGAAATCTCAATGAGTTTTAACAGGAATCATGGGAATGAAGTTGTCTATGAAGAAGGTAAGTATAACTAACTAAAATATGAAAATAATGTCTAAAGTGACTGCCTTGAAGGTAAACGCAGATATATTAAGGTGATTTGAATAAGGCAAGGAATGTAACTAAACCATGGAAACCACTGTGCTGACCATCTCTGTGCCTTTCTGACCTATCATATCAGACAGCAAAAGATAATAGACTCACATATCTTCTGTTTTAGCCATCTGATTGATGTATCAAATAATCACTGTGATTGTTTTTTTCTTTAAAATAGGCACTCAGCCTGTAATCCTAGCACATTAGAAGGCCGAGGCAGGCGAATCGCTTGAGCTCAGGAGTTTGAGACCAGCCTGGCAACATGATGAAGCCTTGTCTCTATCAAAAATACAAAAAAATGTAGCCGGCTCTGGTGCCACATGCCTGTGGTCCCAGCTACTCAGGAGACTCGGGTGGGAGGAACGCTTAAACCTGGAAGGCAGGGTTTGCAGTGAGCCGAGATTGTGCCACTGCACTCCAACCTGAGTGATAGAGTGAGACCCCGTCTCAAAAGTAAAATAAAATAGGTGCTCAAATTTGTTTAAAAAATATTTGAAAAGGTGTAATTCAGTGCTGTCTTGAAGTGAAAGGTTTTATGCAAGTAATAGATTGTGGGTATCAAAAAGCAAATTATATCTAGTACATGAATTGTCACTGGATGGTCATTTTTTTCAGACACAGATTTGTTCTATATATTTTGAGATGCCTGGACATTTGGTTATAAATAAATATAAACATGTTCACATATGCTCCTGTAATTACTAACTGGGGATGAAACATTTGTTGGAGCTAATAATGCTACCATATACATGTCCCAGGGCAGAAGAAAGTGTCAATAGCTTTTGTCCAGATAAAGCCTTTCCTTTCCCTCTGTTCCAGAGTGCTATCAACACATGTGATCTCTCCCTTTCTTAGGTTCTTTAGGTGAAGTCAGAGGTCAGTAGCTGGCATCTCAGCCAACAAAGGGCAGACCTTGTCATTCTGCTTTTTCCTAAGCAGCACAGAGTGTTAGCCTGCTGGGAAGGTATAACTTAGTGTGCATTTTGAATTGGGCTATTTGGAATAGATTGCCACAAAACAATCTACTTTTGCTACAGAGCCCTTATCACCTAACACACCTGAGTAATCGCTGGGTAAACTGCTTTCAGTGAATTAGAACAATGTGGTTTACTGAAGTTGTATAACAGCCATAGCATTACACATCCTACAAGGGATTTGCTGTACCAATAATCTAGGTTATGCATGATCTATTCAAATACACTGATGTGCTCATCGAAAGTAATTCCAAAAGAAATCTGGAGTTGGTCATATTGATAATCCACTCACTAGAAACCTTGAATCGATAATCTCAGTATAATTCTAATGTGCACAATGATTATTTACCCACTCTTTTGTCTTAAATAGCTGAAGATGTGTTAGAACAAAAATAATTTAAAAATGGATATATTCCACCATTCACTACATTTGATGAATGACGGTCTACATCTCAATGACTATTAGCCTTATTAAAATTAGCATGCAGAATTGTAGACTAATTGTAGACTAAAGTGGCCTCAACCATATATAGCAATAATACGTTCAGCCACAGCTGTCACCTCTTACTTAGTCTTTCTCAATGTTCGATGTCAAAGGCATCCGAATTCCCAACAACGATTGCATGAAGGGATAAAGATACTGATTAATTTCCAAGTATTATTTTTTCACTTGGCCCTCCGCCTGATTTCTTTTAAGAGCTGGGCACATGAACTAATACTTACTTTCATTACTACAGTAGTAGTTATCTTAGTCTAGAATCAGAAGACTACAAGATGATCAACTTCACAGTTGAGAAAATTTCCACAGACTCTTATACAAACTTGTAGGATATTTTGAATGAAGTCCCAATAATTTAAGAAGAATGAATCCCCCTGACAACTGTTGCTTAGACCTAACTTAGATTCTAAGTAAATAGCAACCTCCCTGACAAATGACAGTAGCCTGAAAAAGTGAGGAAGTACAATGTCAGATGGTATAGCCTGGAAAACGACAGTGCACAGGTTTGGGACCAGCTGTCTTTGTGCCCCTTCTATGTTCTTATTTTAGTTCCCTTTTCATACTTTTCTTCTGTTTCTTCTTCACTTTTCCTTTCATCTTTTGGTTTGCATTTTGCATTCATCCATTTAGTGAAAGAGGGGCTGATGGCTGCAGGGAGAGCGTGGACCGTACTTCGCAGCCAATGTTCCCGTAAATCCTACTCTAAATGTATTTGTATGTGAACCCAGGGCAGTGAACCAACTCTGAATTCATTTATACATCTGACTCAGGGGGTGTATAATGATTACTGACAAATTTTGAAGACCAAGAATGGCTCTGAATTTGTGTTGGCTAGTGTAAATTTCATAGGGTTGAATATTGGGGATAGACTCTTTTTGCCTCCAATGAGATTTGCTCATTCTAGCCTTGACCCTTCCCAACAAGTCAGATTTGTTTTATTGTCTTGCTTGGGGGTTGTGCTTTAGTAGCAGGATGACCTACTTTAATTTCTACTTAAATGTGTCACAGCCTGAAAAGTGACTTCCCCTAAAGGACTGAGTCCTTAAAGACTCAAACTGGCCTTTGAGACCAAATGGAAGACTTGTATCCCAAAGCAAATAAAAATATATTAAGGGTTTTACAAACACAACCTTAAGTCTTTATCATTTTCTGTATGTGCCTTCTACTCTCATTACAGGTTAACTATACTTGCTTAAGACATTTGCTGCTCCTCTCCACTAGATTTTTACCTTTCTGACTCCTTTCCTGCCACGACAGGAGCCTTTCATGAAAGTGTTAGCCAATATTATTTTGCCTTTTCCTAAACAGCACACAGACATGACCCACAAGGCAGGCCTAATGTACTAGACGTAGACATAGGTCTGCAGTTTATCAACATCCTTAATTTCACATGAGCTAGTGACTAGCATTAATCTCAATACTGTATAATGCAACAAGCTCAGCTCTTTCTCGTAAGCTCAGCAAGGTGCAAGTAACGTATCCTCACAGGCAATGAGCAAAGAAATCCATTCCTTCACAGTTTTCAAAAGGCAAGTCTTTATATTGGGGCCCCTAGTGATAACTATGTCATCACAATTAAAATTTTCAAAACTATCACATAAAATCAACATATTGAGCAGGATAAAAATCCCTGTCCCACATAGCTTACTATACAGAGTAAAACCTACAGGATCTGCCACAAATCATTTATGCTTGCTTCTTCAAGGCTGAAATCTTTTGGCTTACTAGAACACACACAAGGAAATGGTAGATGTAGGGAGTTATCCAGCAAGTGATTGGAAGAAACTTATTACTAATGCCCCTTATAGTATATTAGGAAGTTTGAACGGATTATTCATAGGCTTAAACACTTAGCTACAGGGTGATGCCTGGTAGAGGAAGTGTTGCGGTGTTGGAGGACATGGGCTGAAATATTAGGACTCTTCTCACCACTTTTCTGCATAAGTCAATCGACAACAGGATTGCAGATGCAGTAAGCAGCCAGAGTAGTTTAAAGAGAATGGATTCTTTCATATCTCTGCCTAGGGTCTTTCCAGGGTTCTCACAAAAATGGGAATCTGGATATCGTTCCAGCCCTAGGTAAAGCACCAGAAAACAGGCAGGGGTTTCTATGCTATAGAGGTAGACTCCTGGCCTCACTAAGAGGTGTGGCAGAGGAGGCTTCTAGAGTCAGAAGGCCTTAACAGGAGCCCCCAGAAGAAGAGGATTGAGGAATGAAGAAGAGATGCATCAGGCAGATGAACTACTTCTGAGAGCAGGTTCCCTTGACTGCGATCATTGCTAAGGAGCACATTCTGTGGCTTTCAGCAGGAATGGACTTGCTTCAGCTCTTGAAAAAATCCTCAGCAAGGGAGATACACTGCCAGAGGCCATATCTTATGGCTCACAGATCTGGCACTATACAGTGACCTCTCTTGACCGCACCCTCTAGTTTTCTTCACCATGAAAACCATGACTCTATCAGAAAGTCCCTGGTCAGATTCAGAGGGACTCTAAAATGAGACAATGATAGAGAAGATGGAACAATCTATGGCCTTGTTTTCTCAATTCCTTCAGTGATGCTAAAGAGCCTATGTGGCCAGAGCTGAACAAGTTCCATGTTCAGCTTTGAAATGGGAACACTTCAAACATTTCAAGAGGCAGCAGGCTGTAATGCAAAAGGACACACGAGCTTTGAACTCAAATAGACCTGAGCTAGAATTCTGACTTAACAACTTCACTGTTTTCTCATAGGAAAATGTAAAGAACAACATCTATATATTATTCATTTCAGTCAATAGAGTTGTTGAGATGATTGGAGTTAACACACGTAAAAGTGTCATCGTACAGCAGGTATATAATAAATGGTGCCCATGATGACTATTACTTGACTTGGGACCCTGATTTAGGAAGAATGTCTGCTAGTAATTGTGGGTTTTATCTACTCGTAAGGAGAAAAATACACTTGGAAGTGTAGGATAATCTACTAAGGGCAGTTAAACTAAATGTGTTACATAGGAGACAGGAGACTAATGTTACAGCAAGAAAAAAACTCAATAGTCATGTCTGAGATAAGGTTTCATCATAGTCAAAAATATTTCCCTTTACAACTCAAAAAAACAAGTTTGGAGACAAACAATTTTAAGGGAGAGAAAGACTTTGTTTACTTCAGGGATTGCAGAAATTAATGGAAAGAGACAAATTAAGGAAATACAGGGTGGGACACTTGGGCAGAACATTAATGTCAATGAGAAGATGAAAAGAATCAAACAGAGACATAGGAGAAAAATGATTTTTATAAGCATGACCATTTTAAAATAAGAACTATTCTAGGATCTATATACACATACCACAATATATACATACATACATACATATATATATTATATATACACATATATATAATATATATATACACATATATATTATATATACATATATATATATATATATATATAATACACACACATAAACACATACATGCATATGTTGTCTTAGTGGGCCCGGGCTGCCATAAAAAAATACCACAGATTGGGTGACTTAAACAACAGAAACTTATTCTGTCACAGGCCTGAAGCCCAGGAAGTCCACAGTCAAGGTGCCTGTAGGGTTCAGTTTTGGTGAGGTCTCTCTTCCTAGATTGTGGAAGGGTGTGGCTCACCTTTTTTGCTGTGTCCTCACATGGCCTTTCCTTGATGTGTGTGCATGGTGGGAGACAGACATAGTGAGAGCGCTCTCTCTGTCTTCGTCTTCTGATAAGACCACAAACCCTACTGGATCAAGACCTTATCCCTAAAATCTCATTTAACCTTAATTACCTCCTAAAATCTCCAAACACTGTCACATTGGGAATTTGGGCTTAAATATATAAATTGGTGGTGGGGGCACAATTTAGTCTATGGCACACATATATATGTATGTGTATTAAATATTCACCAGAGCTGGGTGCAGTGGCTCATGCCTATAATCCCAGTGCTTTGGGAGGCCAAGGTACGAGGAATGCTTGAGCCCAGGAGTTCAAGGCTGCAGCAAGCTATGATGGTGCCACGGCACTTCAGCCTGGGTGACAGAGTGAGACCCTGTCTCTAAATATAAATAAATAGACCCCAAATCATAAAAAGATTTTAATAATAATATTAACAGTGACAGATAGCATTTATGGAGGTGGTCTCTGTGCCAGACCCTGGGAGAAGGACTCTACATGAACTAACCCACTCAATCCTCAGCACCTATTCCTGATATAGATATATATATATATATATATATATATATATATATATATATATATATATATATATATGCACTTTGCCATACCTGTCTGAGATGAAGAAAGTGAGATCACACAGCTGGGAACTGAAATTCAGGCTGCCATGCAGCATGTAGTGCAATTGACTTGGACCCCATTCTTTCATGGCAGAGATTCTTGAGTTTTTGATATCAAACAGCTGCCACTCACTCCCCTGTAGGTTTGAATTCCCTGAGACATAGAGCAGAATGATAGTGCTCAAGGTGATGTTCAAAGCAGAGGTGGGACAAGAAGATGATTGTTGTCCTCTCTGATTGAGATGAAGCCAACCTAGAGGAGGTGGCTGGACTTGACAGTCAGCTAAGTGTGGTTTAAGCCAAACCTTGGTGGATCATAATCCACTGGGTAGATCCCATTCTGTGGGTGCAGTGTTTTACAAAGGGTGACTCCTGGGCCACTCTTTCCCTCAAGGAATTCTTCTATGCCCCCCAAATACTGGAAACAGACATCTAGTAGTCCCAGAAAAATCAGTTGTATTTGAACACTCCTTCAGGCCAAAGTGTAATGGACTGATATAAAATCTATAAAGAATGTGAAGAAAGAATGGGAAGGTTCTAGGTACTAAAACAGTAAAGATAGCAATAGCAACATACTTCTATTGCTAAGTTTCTACTTAAACATACTAGCAGTATAATGGGTTTATACTGATTCTGGATTATTTCCACTGTCCCCTCTTCATATATAACTGGAAGCAGATGAAAATGGGTGTGGGCTAGAGGGGAGACTGTTCCTAAGCTTCCTCAAACTCAGTTTGTGTTTCAGATGAGAGCTGGGTCATGAGAACACAGAAAGAGATGAGGGAAGGAGGAAATGAACACTTGGCAAGGTTCTCTTTTCATCAGCATGCGTTCCCTTAGCAACTGTGCCCTCCAAGCACAAAGCACTGGCCTGCACGTTCATCATCATGGGGACAGGAGGGCATGTCTGGGGGTGATGGGGAAGGAGAAAAGAAAACACCTGATGCTAAAGCCTTTCATCCCCTTGACAATTTTTCCCAAGTCCAGTTCTGTCTACCTTCAAATAACACCCACGCACTGAGGCCTGTGAGTGACTTCAAGGCTGCTGGCTGCCTCATGCTTGGCAAGCAGTGGTCACAGTGTCTGTGAGAGTATCTCTTGCTCTCTGTGGCCCTGCAGAAGGCCAGCACCTCCCTCCCATCATGTGCGTGCGCACTCAGGCAAACGTGTACCATCCAGTTCTTTGTTTACACGGGGCAAGTGATCAACTCAATATTTTTTACTTAAATGCCTGTAAAGTGGAAGCCATGGACATTTGATTTTAGAATCCTAAGTTAATTTTTCTTCTTATCTGGCACTGTTTAGATCTCAAGTAAATTCAGTTCTGGGGATTGCCACTTTATTGAAAGAAGAACTTAGAAAGGGCTCAAAAGGGAACTGAAAAAAAATGATGAGATGATTGAAAAACAAGACTAATAGGAAACGGCTGAAAGGACTGCATCCCTGAACCTGGAGGAGCTTGAGGGGCGACGAGAACACACAGGAGGCTTGTCTGCCAAGGCCAGCAGCCACCTCTCTGTTTCAGGAAGGGCAGATGACGTGTGGATAACTGGGGTGGGAAAGGATTCAAGGAAGTGACAGTGAGGACTCTCGAGGACAAAAAAAGGGCAACTGAGGAAAACTGTGTTGCCTCCTGGTTTGACAGTCTCACAGGCCAGACCTATACTGCTGGCGAGTATGGCTTGAGAAAGACCCTGCCTAAACGTTGAGGTGTGAGAGACAGGCAGACACTAAATGATCACTAATTTTGTGAATATATGTTGTGTTCTAAAGTTGTCAGGAGAAAGCCATGAAGAGTTTCTGGCCAGCAAAACTGAAATTTGCAGCCAAATATGTATATACATTCATACTAACTTCATCATGGTACCAAGCAAGCTCTTCAGACAAACATAGTTCAGGGTGAGAGTCAAATAGGTGGCTACTACAAAGGGCACTGTCTTGAGACGGAGGCTAACCTGCCTCAGTGAGATGTCTATAATGCTGTTATAAAGAAAAAAAAATTAACCTGCAGAGGGAAAAAGCTAAACCAATCCACTACAGTGAGTGGGCAGGTATGCACATCCCCACAGTCTGTGGTTTAGCTGGTAAATTGGAAACTACAGCAGATTTGACCCAAATCCAAGAAGGCAAAGCATGAAGATCCTCCACCACTCCAAGTAAGCATTGGAGGGTCTTATGGACCAAGCAAGAGAAAAACTCCTGGTGTTTGTACAGATAGCCCTTTCATTCCAGGAATTTTCACAGGCATTATTGGCCTCATTCTTACATCCTCTTAGAGGTGTTCACACTCTTCCCATTTTAGAGACAGCCACTGAGCCAACGAGTATCCTTACACTGTCTCAGGGAGTGCATCGGTTTTCCCAATCACATGTTCTATGCGTGAAGCTAAGAAAAGTGTAACCTGTGGGCAGTGATCAGGGATGGTTCAGATATCTTAATTACCTGACTATTTAAGAACCAGGTCTCTATCCAACCCCAGCCTGTCACTGCATCAACTGCTCTTGCCAATATGACAGCTTTAAGCGGCATTTACTCTGTTGGTGAACACAGTGTGTGGGAAAATGATTTAGCATCATGAATAAACACATATGCTTGCTTGGGTCCAAATTTTAGAAGTGACAAACCCATTTTCTGGCCCAAGATTTAATGGACTAGAAACAAACTAAAAGGTGCATAATTTACTATGCATGAACAAGTAACTTCCTTTGCAGCAAGTGAACTCTGATATCAAGTGCTGCACTTAGAACTGCTGATTACAGGTTGTGTGTTCCTATTACTAATGTGTGTGTGTGCATGCACACACACACACACACACACACACACACACCTCTAAACATACCCCAACAATAGTTCTTTCATTCCTTGAAACATAACTGGGTATAGAACTGGTTGATCATGGATGCCTAATACCATAAAGTAAAGAAGAAATCCTGACTTGGGGGGGAAAACGCATTAAACAAGAGATTAATAAAAAGATGCTAGTCCAAGCCAGCAACAAAAAGAGGTGTCAGGAGATAATCCCTCTTCAAAAAATGCAACTTCCACGCCTGGTTTCTTTAGCTTGAAAGTGGTGTCCGCTACCTGTCACGTTTTCCCCAATAGACAGTCTCATCATTTTACTTTTAGTCTTGTTCCCATTTTATGTTTACATTTTATTTTCTCGTTCCCTTCCCTGAATCCCCTGCTTCTAGTTTCCAGCTCAGTGTTTACAGAGACCTTTACTAGAACGAGGGAGGTTGAAGAGACCCCATTTTTCCCCCTTCTCTTGTCATGCCCATTCTTTTTTTCCCTATTCCCAGAGAATAGATAAGTTTACCCAGAAAATAAAAAGCTAATACAACCTTTTGCTCATCAACAAAAGTATGTCTTGTTGTAGCCAGGAATAAGTTAATAAAACAGGGAAAAGGCTTAGTGGCTTAAAAATAGGCTCCTTGGGGTTATGAAGGAACAATGTTGTTTTTTCTTCCCAGCGTGCAAGGATTTAATTAAGTGATAACAGTCACCTTGGGGTGGCTGCACAAGGCAATAATATCTAGGTGAAGAAAAATGCTGAAGAGAGTTGAGTACAGTCCATTTATCTTCAGAGAAGGCAATAAATGAACAAAGCATAGGTATTGGGCTGATTGTTTTGCAATGTTTCCATTACTGATAAGCATCAGAAAAAAAAGCACAGAGATTTGGTATTTTCAGTTTCTGAAATGTATTAAATACAGAGAAAGGAAATGAAAAAATTGCTGTGAGGTCACATCCTCACATTCTCATTACAAACAGTTTGGTAATTATTCAAGCTAAACATAGAACAAGGGAATGTTCACATTGACACAAAGGATGCGGACACAGCTGAGTCGTTTATTTGTAAGCAAACACACAAAACTTGGAAATTTCTGTTCTGCCAAAAAAGAGAAAGCAACCATAAAGAGAGGTGAAGGCAGAGTGAGGATGCATTCGTGGTCAGCCTCAGAAACAGCAGACTTTCTCTGTTCAAAGGTCAAGTTTGAGGAAATTTAAAGAAGTTTAGGGGAATTAGTACACAAGTGTTATGATAGAAGAATATCCTAAAAAACAAGCAACCAAACAAAGACAAACCCCCCAAACAGTGACCTTATTAGCCTGCATAATATTAAGAACTAACTGTAGGGTTAGAATAAAATTATTGAAAGCTCAGGCCCACAGAGAATGTTAACAATAGAAACATGCCATTGGTTTTCAAAGCAAGGTTTGAAAGAAAAGTGTGCATGGATACTTGGGTGATGAAGCCAACACATTACTTTCACTTCTTTTTGTGGGACGTGGGGCTTGGGGATGGGCAGAAAGTAAATGGAGAGTCTTTTCTTTTTCTAGTACCGTAACAGCAACATGAAACTTCCTTCTATACTGCTCCAGTCTTTCGTCAGTGGATCCCAAGGCACCCTGCGAAATTAATTAATTCTAACACTACCTCTGCTTGGTATACAGAAAATGAGACACTGAGGTTAAATGTAACTTGTCTAAGACCACTCAACCTGTTTGCCGTACAGTTTTGATCCCTAATTCCCACACTTCTTGTCTACTTAATTGCCTTCTTGGAGACCACATCACCTCCCTCTTAAGAGTTCATGTTCATATCTCTCCAATTTCAGTGGTGATTGAAAAAATCCTGCCCTGAACCCCTGCCCTCCACTTCCCTAGCTATGCCTCCAGCCATACTCTTCCTTCAGTGAAAAGTAGACCCAGCAGAGCAGCAAGGTTGGCATCTCTGTTTCCATCTGGCTCAGCCCATGCACACCGCAATGTTGAGACAGGAAACGTTTCCTTCCCCTACACAATCTTCTTCTCCCTCACTCACCTCTCCCCCTGAGAGTCAACGAGCTTCATTGATTCCCCCTCCCTCCGCAGGATACACAAAGAATAAGAGTCAGCTAGATGATGCTTGAGAGGTTGCCTGCATAAGGAAAACAGTAAACAACTCAAAAGCAAATAAAATAAAGATAAAATCACAAATGCTTTGTCACAGAAATCCTATCATCTTATGTGACTCTATGACAGATTTGTAAATTATAGAATGTTGGGGGTGGGTAAGGTTTGATGAGATTTTCAAGAAAAAAGTGTAGGGTCTTACAATTATTATGAGTACTTGTGCTGTCTTAAGGTTGCATTACAGGGGAACTGCTTTCTCAACTTACCGAAAAACAAAAACTTTTCATTTTAATCAAGCCTTTATGTAAGTAAATTCAAAGGCAGTATTGAGGAGAAACGGGATGCCACTCTCCTAGGTTACCCTATCTTTTCCAAATACTTGTCAGTGCTATCTAATATTAATAATAATAATTCTCATAAGTCCTAATGCCAAGGTTTAGGTGACAAGTCTTTTTGCAACAGCAGATTTTAATATTAGATAACTTGGGGTTTTTCTGTTGACAGCTGTCCAAGACTGACTACTGTAAGAGACAAACTGCTTAAGGAATTACTTTACTCTTCTGTTCCAAAGAGAGTTGTAAACTGCTGAATGCAGGGATATCGGAGTTTTATTATGTTTTGGTTTCAGTGCTGCTGTGCTAACAGCACAACAGAGCAGGGAGAAGAAGGTCTGACTCTAGCCATATACTTCTGAGCAGAGGGAACTTCTCAAGGTTCTTTTGGTTTAGCATTATTAGTTTTCTGGTATTATTGTGTGGGAGTGGCCAGTAACCATTGGGTCCTTTAGGACCTTTGAGCTACAAGCCTTGTATGGGTCTACTATCTAGGGTCCTTAAAGTGGGGCTGAATGGGATAAGGACAACCAGTTAACACCCATGACAGTACCTACATACATAACAATAAGAGTTTCTTTTTGGTTGGCCAAAATGACACAAAAGGGACTCATATATTCATTAATTCGTGTTCCAATGTAAAGTGGTCTGCACAGGTTTATGGTCTATGCCACCACAACCCGATGCTTAGCTTATGGGCAGGGAAGACTAAAGCTCTGTTGATAATTAAAAGCTACATGAACCACCTGGCTGAGGCAAGGTGACCAGCTTGAGACTCCAGATGCTAGCTCAGATCGTCAAGGCGAGCAGTGCTCTGTGCTCCATAAGGCCCTTAAGCCCCCAGGCTCCCCTCTTCTCTGCAGTGGCTTGCCTCTCAAAAGAGCACTCTCCTTGGCATGGGTGTCTGGAGTGACTCACGAGCTCACAGCTCTTCCCGTCCAATGTCAAATGGGTCCCTACTCTCCCAGCACCAGTGGTTTCACAGTGGAGCTCTAGGGGTTGGGTATAATTGAGAAGTTAGAGAATGATTCTGTATGCTTATTTTTCTCAACTACCTTGCTCATTTAGCATCATTATCACCACTCACGATGGCTCTCGCAGTGTGATCATTTAAAATAAGGTTGATGATCTCACTGGTATATTTAATATTAAGAGGCTTTGGTTTGAATATAAAGAAACTACAATTCTGATTAACGTCCATTAATCTATGAACTAGCCATATTTTCAAACAACTGGCCAATTAAAAGTTTATGCCTGTGTTGAAACCTCCACTTACCACTTTACCATTAACAATAATCCACCCTAGGAGATTTTTTCTGTTTGAGCATATCAAAGTGAAACACTGATTTGTTTCATTTTAATCCTCAAAAGTGAATTGGTTGGCACATTCTAATGTGCCCTAAATTAGGGAAGCTGCCATCAGTTAAATACACAACAATTAAAATAGAGCAGAAGTATTAATGTAGGCAAAATCTACTCATTTATTGATCTTAAGCAGAAGACAAAAATGTTCATTTATTTTAGCCACAGAAGATTAAATTTTCCTTCCAGGAACATTGTCTACATGGAGGGGGAAGATATACACCATCATATTGACTTACCATTCCTGTCAGATATATTAACTTCTAGGGATTTTGTTGTTTTTTCGTAACATAGCTGTACTGCTGAAGTATGAAAATATTTCAGGAAAAAAGTAGACCAGTAATTGAATAGACTGTCAGGAAAACATACACCAATTTCTTTTTCAAAGAGATGGGTAACTGAATTTTCTAGACATTGTGTGAAATGTCTAGAAAATTCAAATGTCTAGAAAATTTGACTAAGGTATTTGAGCAATATCTTAGTCAAACCTTTGGACCTATGTTTTAGTTGGAATTGTAATCCGTTATATAATTTTATTGGTAAACATAGAAAAACTTGGCTACATCTTCTATTTATTATGAAAGGTTATCTTTTTACCATATCTGAAAGTAGAATTTTAAAAGCATAACAGCAGGAACCTCCAAAGCATAAAAAAGCACATAAAATAACAATGAAAACCAGTTCTCAAATGGGCAACATCTCCAAATCTTGCATTATAGTCTAGCTTTTATCCTTGGTGGTTTAGCCTTGAATCTCCCATTAGTGCTGATGGGAACTGCATAGCTAAAGCCCATGCATCAAGTTGAGGAAACACTTCTTCGTATTAGTTCTGACTCCAGTGTTATAACACAAATCATGATAATATTTTTCTATCTCTGCATTTCATTGGGAAAAAATACAATCTAGCACTCTGCACAGTCATAAATTATGACTCTATTCTTCTACTGTTTATGATTATTACCCTATTCCATATAGAAAATAAAAATCTTTTAAAATAACATTTTAAACTATGGTTTTTAACAAATAATAATTGTAGTTTTGTTGTATCTATCATTGAAGATTTAAAAAATTACAAATAAGAATTTCATATCATAACCTCAACAGAGATGTATCATTCTATCCACTTTACATATTTATGAATCAAACAGCTCTCTCTATGTCTTCAGGTTTGATTATTGCTGTGGAACGGTAGGGAGCTGGAGGTGAACGCTTAGTTCTGTTCACCTCAGGTCTAATTACAAACTCTTATTAGCACTAGTAGGGGTTAGCTCAGCTGTTTAGAGAACTTGCATACGAGGCCAAAGTCAGGAGCCAGAGGCCTCTCTCCAGCGGTTTTACTCTGTTCTATGGCCAAAGAGAGTATTCCTGATGCTAACCAGTGGCCTCTAAACATATATAGCACTCTCAGTCACAGAGGGATAGGGCAGAGAGCGTGGCTGGGTCAGTTTAAATCCATCAATGCTGATAGAAAAATAGGCTCAAACTGTATGTCTGCACAAGCAGATTTTTGTGAATAAAATATTTACTAACAAAACTAATAAGTATAAAAGTTCAAGTAGGTTCCAAAGACCTTTCAATAATGGCAAAATGGCTTAAGAAATTTTAAGAGTAATTCGTCTTCATTAACAACATTCAGAAAATACAAATAAGCAAAAATAGAAATATAAAAAAATCATCCATAATCCAGAGATGCATTCTACTAATGTTCTGATGAACATGTTAATTGATTAATTCATTAGGTATTTATTGGGCCACTACTATGTGTTGGGAACTAACCCAGGTACTAGGCTCTGAAGATGATGAACTAGGCAGATAGTCGGTGTTCTCTTGAAACCTACAGTTTATAGATACACAATTTAAAAAGGCATACTCTACATGATTCTACTCTATAGACTGTTGTAGAAGTTACTCAACCAAAAGGTTTGCCACATTTGCATCTGCTCTGGGCCTCTTCTAACAGCAGTCCTACTCAAGTGTCCATTTTACTGTTTCTTATACTAAACTTCATACTAGTCTAGTCAAATACATTTTGCGCCTATTTAGAAAGTCATATGCCTAAGGGTACTGCCCTAGAATGATAGTGAAAAGGGATATTTCAAAATTACTGTGAGGTCCCCATCCAGATTTCTTTTAGTAAAGGTGTAAGTGATATTTTTTATGACAGTATATATACTTTTATTATAGAATTTGAGTAAATACTACGCTTGGTTTTGCTTGTTCTATGATAAAGGCTCAAACAGCATCTCTCTATAAAGTCAGAGAAACATTTTGCTTTGACTTTTAGTTCTTTTCAAAATCTTTCATTGAATCCTCTGAGAAAAATAGCAAGTTCTATTGCTACTGCTCCTTGCTAATATGTTCCTCTTATGATGAGCATTATGTCCTGTGGCTTTAAAGCAGACACAGCACACGTCCTGGAAAGAGGACTTCTCAAGAGCCGAGGCAGTCCATTCCCACTGTGAGTGATCATAGCAGGGATTCCCCCATTCCACTGTGCCCCAAGAGTCACTGCTTAGAGTGTGTTACAGAGCTGACATTCCAGGAAATTCCAAAGTCTCATCAGAGTGCACGCTGTGTGGTCACGGTGGAAACTTCAGACCCCTTTCTATTTATTTTCAGAGAGAAATAAGATGTACGAGGTTCATAGAAAAAATGCGATTAAATAACCACACATGGAGGTTGTATGAAGAAGAAATTCACAAAAGATTCCAACTATACATATATAGGAGGTAGCAGACACTTTCTCACTACATACTATTGTGGACTTCTCAAATGGAAAATGACAGGTAAGAAGCCATTTCTATGACTTGAAAATACTTGTCCACTGAAAACCATATTGTAGTCACACTCCTGACTTCCTCACGTGTTTCTATAGTATCCAGCTCCTAGCAACTATGTCATTCAAGGGATTTGGCCAACAAATCCTGACTCCCAATGTAAAGAAATACACAGTTTTATCATTTTCAGGATGGGATCCAAGAGAGTATACAAATCAGGCCCATTCTGGAGTTAGTGTTAACCACTTCTCTAGCTGTTGCTTTGTCTGACACTTTCAGCATGCCATGGTTCATACATAGAAATAGTACTGACATAAGGAGTTTTTTTTTTTTTTTTTTACTGCTCTGTGAAATAGTAAGTACCACACATAGCAGAAATTTGCAAGTCTTCTTATTAATTTGGTTACACTGGCCAATAATAGTCAGCAGGCGGCTGTAAATTCTCCCTGTAGATTATATATTAGATTATGACACTGAATAAAATGAAATAAACAAATACTCTTGTCATGATGTCTAGCTAACTGAATAAAATGACAAAAAGATTTGGTAACATTTTTAAGGTAAAGAGTATTATTTTTTAAAGCATAAACACATTAATATATGGGGCAGAATATCAGGGAAATACCTGTTCACTTGTCATATATTTAAATATTTGTCATATACATTTATATATACATGTGTATATGACATGTGATATGTATATATACATGTGTATGTATATATGATGTGTAACATATATGTAAATTCTGTAACCTTAAAAAAATTCTCACAATACATTTCGGATCTCTTTTCACGTCACCACATACAGGTGTGATTTTCTTTTTTGTAAATAGTATGGTATTTCATAATAAATTTAACCATTCCTCTATGGAGCATGGTTTCAAAATTTGAGGCAATTAGAAGCAATGCCACAATGGATTCACTTTAAGATTTATTTAGTGTAGTGTTTTTTAAAAATGAATTACTTGATCCCTTCTAATAATACTGAGAAATTGCTCTTTTTGCCAAATTGTTTTCAATATCAGAACTATGCATTCTCATCAATAGCAAACAGGAATGTCAGTTTCTCAACATTCTCACCAATATTTGATGCCATCAGTCTTTTCGAACTTGGCCAATCTGTGAAGCAAAAGCATCTGTCACTGCTGTTAATTTAAAGTCTTTTCATGTATTGTTTGGTCATTTCTATTTCTTTGGTGACATTTCCATTCGTATCTTTTGACCATGTTCTAATGGCATGTTTGTCTTCTTGTTGAATTTTTGGATCTCTTTATATAGTTTGGTTATTTATCCTTTGCCTTATACGATGTAATATTTTCTGTAAGTCTGCAATTTATCTTTTAATTTTATTTACGGTATCTTTTGTTGTACATAGTTAAAAATTCTAAAGTAATCATCTCTGCCAGTCTTTTATAATACCTGAATTTCTTTTCATAAGAAGCTCTTCTCCACCATGAGAAAATAAAAAGGTTCTCTTCTATTATTTCCACTGTTTACAGTTATGTTTATTATGCTTAGTTCTTTAACTCTTGAGTTAAAGAATTAAGGAATGCTGTTTAGAGCATTTCTGAGGTTCTGTTTGAAAACAACTCTCCCTTTGTGCAATCTCAGTTTTAAAATAACTCAGTATCATTTTTGAAAGCTCACTTTAAAGTGTAAGCATGGTTTTCTAGGACAATGAACCAACAAAATTTGGGAGTCAACTTAGACAGGGAAAGGCTACTGCTTCCTTTCCTGAAGCAGAATGAGACCTTATCTTACTACTGTTTTTAGGAAGCGGTCATTTACTACACAACAGGAAAGGAATTTTCAAAGGGAAGGGAGAGAACAACGCCTACTTTTTACATATTATTCCCAGGGCTGTGGATAATAGCGACTTACAGCTTATATGCAATCACTTCATTCATCTTAGATTTCTGGTTACTAAGCAGCTGCACAGAAAGAGAGAACTTCCAGAGTCAGGGAGGTCTGGGTTCAAATCCTAGGTTGAGCCATTTATGAGCCCTATGAGCTTGGACAAATCATCTGTTTCTCTGGGTTTTTTAATTTAGGAAATACAGCTAACACCTGTCCTCACAGGATGAAGTGAAGTGACTCAGGTAAATCACTCAGCATAGTGTCTGCCCCATCCCAGAGCTGCTGAAGAGAACCCCAAAGAGGTTGTACCTTTTCCCAGAAAGAAAGAATATTTAATCTCTAATTAATAGTAAATGTTGGCTACAGCTGGGGCAAAAGCTCGACAGAGACCAAAGAAAGGAAAAACTGAGACTGGACTTGGAATTTTATTTAAAAAAGAATTGAACTTTAAAAAGGACGGAAAGATCAGAAGCTCAGTAATGGAGTTGATTTACTGTAATGTGATTTTCCTTTTTATTAGTCCTTTTAGCCTGGATTGTTTGGTGTGAGCTGAATTTCACTCATAATTTATATTGGCCACCACTGAGTTTCTGAATGGGCCTGCATTAGCAAAGATAATTGAGACCTGGATACATAGTTGAGATTTCCTAACATTTGCACAGATAAATTAAGACTGAATGCAGCAAACAGCCCAATTAAAGTAAGCATGAGACTGAGGCAGACAAGACTTGATTCAAAAGGACGCACAAATGGCAAGTAAGCACAGTAGAAGATCACTAGCCATTTGCAAAATGCAAATTAAAGTCACGATGAGATACCAGCACACACCTATCAGAATGGCTAAGATTAAAAACAGAAGGCTGACAATCCTAAGTGCTGACAACAGTGCAGAATAACACTTGATGGGAACGCAAAATGGTACAGCCCCTCTGGAAAACACTTAAAGCAGTTTCTTAGAAAGTTAAATATACACACACACACCACGTAATGCAGAAGCCCTACTCCTAGGTATTTACCCTAGGGAAATGTAAGTCTATGTTCACACAAAAATCTGTGCACAAATATTTATAACAACTCTGCTCATCGGTGCCAAAATATTGAATCAACCCAAATGTCCTTCAATGGTTGAACAGAAAAACTGTGGTACAGCTGTACATAGGCATACCACTCAGCAATAAAAAGGAATTACCGATATGAGTCTCAAGTGCATTACGCTGAGTGAAAGAAGCCAGTCTTGAAAGCTTACATACTGTATCATTCCATTTATATGACGTTCTCATAAAGATACAATTATAAGGAAGGAGAACAAATCAGTGGCCATCAGGGGTTGGGGTAAGGGTGATACAAAGTGACGGCACAAAGGAGGTCTTTGGAATTATGGCACTTTTCTGTATGTAGATTGTGATGGGTGGTTACATTAATTTAAACACGTTAAAATTTATAAAATTGCAGACAGGGTCAATTTTACTGTATGTTTTAAAAATCATTTTTAAAGGAAAGTACAGCCTATTTTAAGACCCACACTTCCTTTGACTGGACTGTATGAGTTCTGGTACCTATATAATGGTCCAAGGGGCTGACCTTGGACCTTCCAACCAAAAGATAGTCTTCTCAGACATCTTCAAACACATAAAAGAACAAAACAGAACAAAACAAAACCTCTTCTTCTGTGTGTTTTCACCGGACCAATTTTATCTTCATCTACTGCTTACTGTTTACCCATACAGAGAATATTTCCCATACTTGCAGAGCATCCTGCGAGGAAACCATGTGCAGTTCCTCACCCCACTCTGATCTCTACCTTATTATTTGGAGCTACTGAAAGTCTGATCACCAGTAGCAAGCTGGTTGCCAGAGCCTTCGATTTTTTAGCAACAGCTCAGCTACCACCATGAAATAACCTCTCCTTTTCCCACCCTCCCATCCCCTATTTTTATTTATTTTTGGGAGGAACAAGTTGTCTTTAACCCTTGGACCCAGTTTGAAGGCAATGGAAATAATTAAGACTGACATTTCTAGGGTTAAACGTCAAGTAGGAGAAAGAGCTGAAAAAGGAAATTCCCCTGCTTCTTAGTAATGAAAAGCTGAGGGTATACCTTCTGTGGCTGTCTATGAGATGCTTTCACATCCATGTGTCAAGGGTTTTTCAAACTGACAACTTGCAAATTTGAAATACAAAAATGCCCAAAGCGATATTTTAGTGGCTCAGGGAAACTCTTGTGTGGGAAAAAGAATTCTAAAGTGAAACGTCTCTTGAAATCACACAGGGCCTGACCACGATACTCTAATTATGCTAATTGCTTCAATGCCCTTGCTTTATTTATGCTGAGCAGCTAAGATAAATAAAGGAAAATTGCTTTGGATCTAACTGTATTCATATCAGAATGCAAACTAGCCTGTGTTTGTTATGTGATTGCTGATCTGTTTACACTAAATTCTGCAGGTAATTGCAGTTTTGATTGCACATTTATTTCTAGCTGCACAGGTCCCAGGACTAGGTCTGTCTGTTTTTATAATTAAACCGTTTTGTAATATCTAAACTCACTAAAGAGCAAAATGATGGTTTAAGAATTTACATATTTTATGCATTAAATATAATACTTTGGTGAGCGGTGACAAAAAGGAAAGAAAGTATGTTTATCACTAAAAAAAATTGGACAGCATGTCTGGATTTGAAGACATTCGAGACATCTGTTCCAAGGCCTGTTCACCGAATGGGACAGATGCCTGGCGCATCCCTGGAATCTGTTGTTCAACACATAGTTTTTGAACTTTGAGTTGCAACTTTCATATTAGTAAAATATGTTAATAGAACATGCTGCCGCTTGGTAATTCCTAAGACAATGGAATCATATTTTATTCCCAAGTGAAACGGTGCCTTTCTGTCTGTTGTTCAGAAGCTGAAACTTCATAGAGTTGACATGGTCTTTGTTTTCTGTACTAGACCACTTTTCTGGGGATGTTCACGGTGGTCACTTTTCTGAGCTTAGAACTCAGTTTTGATGACAGCTTCCTTCGGATTCTCTTCACAGCCAACATGCTTAAGAAAAAAAACATACATACATACATAAAAGAAAAAAAATATTTCTTGTCTCTTTAGGATGCCCATTACTTTAACAACACAAAGGAAATGGATTGATAATGTCACCACTACAAATATAGGATGGTGTCACTTTTGCATTGCTTCTTCATCCATCATCAAATTCTGAAACAGTAATTCAGTCTGCCCTACTTAATGGAAAAGTTAATATCAGTCTATACAGACTAGCCTGCAAAGCTTCTTAACCTAGATTCTGCTCAGGAAAAATCCACTGTTACGAGGTTATTTTGTCTAAAATACCCCTGAGGCATGCTCTCAATAAATATAGACTAGTTAAGCACCCTGATGGCATCTTTAGTTTTCTTCCTAGGGAAGATAAGAGAAGTTGGGAAACTGTTAAGACACACAAAGTGCCTTGAGTAAACTAAGCTACCTTGAGAAAAGTGTAATTTTCTTAATACTAGCACAGGACTGTCATGACTCTACAGTGTGGTGGCCAGAGCAAAAAAGGATGAACCATGGCTACTGAGAGACCTCCTAAGTCCTCCATCCCTTCGAAAGAACATTTACCCCAAGCATTAGTCATATTTTACCTTGTTT
Source organism: Homo sapiens (assembly GCF_000001405.40). Taxonomy (NCBI): domain Eukaryota; kingdom Metazoa; phylum Chordata; class Mammalia; order Primates; family Hominidae; genus Homo; species Homo sapiens. The sequence continues at coordinate 33,529,059 of NC_000014.9, read as the reverse complement.
AGCTGTGTTGTTCTAAGTCAAGATTTGGGGAGACTGGATAGAGGGAGAAATTTGAAGTCAGACAGCTCTGGGTTTGAATTTAGGATGCCTCACATCAACTATATGACCTCGAAAAACTAAAAGAAACATTATTGAGTTGCTCAGGTCCTCAGATTCTTTGGGACCCTTCACAAGGCTGCTGTGAGAATTAAATGATGTGACACGTGACCGCTATTCCTTAAGGCATGTGACACTCAATAATTATCAGTTGCTGTTGTTATATTAGAAGTTAAGAATCTTCCTAAGTTTTCTGTGACATCAATCCCTGCTCTGGTCTGTGGAAGTTGTTCATTACTTTGTTATAGGACTCACTGACGCTGTCACCTACTACCTCCCTTGCTGGTCCACTGGGTAAATGCAACTTTTTCGCAGCCTGGTTAAGCAGGCGCTGGGAAGAGGCTTGGGTTAGATGCATATTTGCTGACAAAAGCATGAAGGATTTCTCAGAAGGCTTACTTAGAAAAAAGAGAGTTTTCCACTTGGCATCCTCCAAATCTGCAGACACATTAGGACGACCACTCCCTCCTCTTTGTTATGTCTTCACTTGATCATAGTCTATTGTTGCATTTATCACCTTCTGCAGAATTATTTATTAATATTTCCATATTTCCCACTAGATTGTGAGCGCCCTTCAGGCAGAGATGCTGTCTTCTTCTTCCTTTTGTCCCCAGAGCATGGCATGAGGCTTCTCACATAGCAGTGGCTCACCAAGTGAATAAGTGAATACTGCATGAATGTGCAGCTTGGTAGCAAAGCTTAGGCTTTGAGGTCAGGCAGACCTGGCTGAAATATCAGTGGGGTGGGCACATTAAACTCGTGGAGTCTCTATTCCTTCTTCACCCCTCCTTCCACACACACAATAAAAGATAATCAGGATAATCTCTTACTTTGCAGGAATAGTGTGAAGAATAAACGCTTCACCTATAGGATGAATTTTTTCTCTTGAAGGGGAAAATAATTCTATGGAAGAGAATTTAGAGAACACAGAAATTAATATATGGTTTACTGATAAAAAGGTGTGGCAGGTTTTAGGTCCAGGACATTAGCTTCCTGTATACTTAGGACAAGATGAAGATTCCTGGATTCCTTGTGTTGAAATGGAAGGAATGTGTTCCTTCTGTTGAAACAGCCATTGCTCCAAATTTTTGCCACCCTCTGGCAGGGAGATCAGGATGCAATATCTGAAAGTCCCTTAAAACCCAGCGTTGTTCAAAAGGAAGCCCCCAGCACTTGCCCACTAGGAAACAGGATTCTCACATTTCAAACACAAGTTCTCCTTTGTCCTCTTTACCTAATTCTTGGAAACCAGTTAATCAACCAGTGGGAAAGCAGATTTCTGCGGGATCCATTCTTTCTATTAATACTTCATATATAAATCCTGATTTTCACATGAGATGTGACCATGCATTTATTATCTCCACACACTTACTCAAATCTTTCCAGTATCAGTAACTCATAACGGGTGTGCATTTGTGTACGTGCACATAAAATCATACACAGAAAGAAACGGCACTTTCTCCAAAGGAAGTCATATGAGAACTCTGAGTGAAATGACTACATCTCTGAGAAACAGAGATAACATCTTATTTTGTTACAGGCATATCTATTAGACAGAATTGAGGCACCAACATGCAAATTGTACAGTTGTTCTGGGCAACAATTTCTTCCTATGACAATAACCCTGGATGTGGGCTCTTGCTGTAAACGACATCACAAGGTAAGTGGTTACAGGGTACAGGATAGGGCTAGGAAGATTCATTTCCATGCCCTGCTCACTTCGGAGCACCCCTGACAAGGGCTCATGCCCTCAGTATTTGTCCCAGCTACTAGGGAAGACGGAGAGTGGATAAGGAAGGGGAAAATCATAAATGGGGAAGAAGGAATGCTGTCTAGCACTGGTAGCCATTGGAGGTGGCCAATCAACCTCCTCCTTCTCCACATATAGCCAGACAGGCATTTGCTACACTGAATACTGGTATTCAAGGAATGGGGGTTCTGCCAGCTTCCTAAGGACAAGGATGCCATCTATTCCTCCTTACAGAGTCTTTACATAGTAGGTGCTGAACACTCATTGAATGAAGAGAAGTTTTGAAAGGACCTTGTTCTCATAACAGAAATGAATGAATATTAGGTTATGTCAATGAAGTAACTTCATTAACACAGTGAGGTCTGAAGGGCTGGGCAACCCTCCTACTGCCTGGCCTTAATGATGTGCCGCTTTGGCTGCTGTCTTCATCCTGAACAATTTGCCTGGCTCTGCCGAGGCTAAATTCTGACCTGACTCCCTTAGGTGAGAGGTACTAAATTACTGAGCTTCTGAAATGAAGCTATTTCCTATATTGCATTTGCAGGATACCTTAATATATATTCAGTAACTACTAGTTTGATTTTTTCCCCTGATCTCGTTGCCACTTCTCCATATATTGAACCCCAGGAGGACCCTATTCACTGATCCCCCATGACTAACAAGCTGTTTAATTCACCAGTGGCTTCCTTCATTATTTTACAGAATCAGCCTGTAAGAGCCCAGTATACATACTGAAACCTCTTTTACATGGGATATTCTTTACTGGAGTGATAGTCATGCCCTGTTTCAACAACATTCAAAAATTTGTCCAATAGGTTTTTCCTTTATTAAAAACAAACAAATGGCTGGAGAGCCTATAAAAGGTAAAGGGGATTTTATAGGAAAATGGAGAAACATTTCCCAGGTTTTAAAAAACTATATGTGACTTCAGTATACTGTGAGTTTATTATTTACTGGTAATTCCTTCCCAAGACCATCAAGCACTTTCAAGTCCAGCTGAAGTAGAGTGAAAGAAAATCATTTCTGAGAGTTATGAAAGGTCATGAGTGAGGAAATGCATTCCAGGTACTCCCGGTAAGTTCTAAGGCTGGAATACCGGTAGGAAAACAACATGGAAAATTACGTCAAATTGTTTGCCATTCACTGATGATTATTTCACTCCTTTTAAATCTTTTCTAGGTTGCTGAAATCTCTGTTTTCATTTCACCTGTGTTTTCCTTTTATTTTTTCCCCTAACTTACCTTTCTTTCTGTTTTATCTGTCTCTTCTCATTTATTTTTGTCATGGTTTATTTCCCCATTTCCTCTTTCGTAATCTCACATTTCTCCTTCTATTAGTTATCTTTGTCAGATAGCCAAAGAAGAAAACAGACGTTTCCCGGTTCCTGATCAGACCCTACCTCCCATGTCACATTCCAAACTTAGGCATGTTTATGTGTTAGTGGCCAATAATTTGGTTCAACATTTCAGAAACAACTTCTCCCCATTAATAGGTTTTATGTGTCCTACAACTTGAAGACTTCTCAAAGCTTCTCCCTTCTGGATAAAGATGCCCATCCCTAGGTCTCAGTGGGTCACAAATATGATAGAGTAAATTCTTTCAGTGACTCAAAGACACAGCATATAGGAAAAAATTCACAGAAATAAATGAATCATCCTGAAATTGTACCTTTTCTCTAGAGCCTAGCACTGTGCTCTGACACTATAGGTGGTAAGAACTAACTTGAAATAATACTAAACTTCTACCTTCTGATTGCAAGGGCATTATTACTGAGAATTTCCAATGCTTGCTAAAAAATACTCTTTATCTAAAGTTCTGAAGACAGAAGAATGAAGTCAGGTCCATCCCAATCTAATCTAGCAGTAATTATATGGCAAAGTGATTTCAAATATCATGCTTACTTGCCTAACTTCTGATTTTGTTTCCATGCTAAGATGCAAAATTATAAAACATCCAAGTTCTGAGTCCCTGATCACATAATCTTTGAGATTCTCATGATCTTCTAGAAAAGATGACTGAATGGCTCTTTAAGTTTAATGTTAGGATAAAACTAGGATACTTATCCCCTTTTTTAGAACATTTTTCTACATTATGAATAGTACATTTAACACAAAACCAATTACTATGCCTTGAGATTAGTCAGTCATTTGCTAAAAATGTACTATTATGGGTTGAATTGTGTTCTCTCCCAAATTCATATGTTAAAGTACTAACCCCCATTAACTCAGATATGACCTTATTTGGAAATAGAAGTGGTGCAGATGATGAAGTTAAGATGGGGTTATTAGTTTGGGCCATAATCCTATGTGACTGTTTCTATATAAAAAGAAGACATTTGGACACACACGGTGAATGACACATGAAGATGGAGGCAGAGATCGGAATGATGTATCTACAAGCGATGGTCCACCAAAGATGATCAGCAAACCACCGGAAGCTGGGACAGAGGTCTGGAACAGAGCCTCCCTCACATCCCTCAGAAGGAACCAACCCTGCCAGCACCTTAATCTCACACTTCTAGCCTACAGAATTCTGAGACAACACATTTCTGTTGTGTAAGCCAACCAGTTTGTGATACTTTGTCATGGCAGCCCTGGCAGACTAATACAGATTTCATCTTTCTATTAGAGGAAGGTTATCATCTAGCAAAGATACAACCATAAGCTTTAAGATCATGTAGACTGGGTTTGAATCTGGGTTTGGCAGATTATTGATTAACTGGAGCAAGTCATTCTGTGAATGCCAATTTCCTCTTTTGTAAAAATTAAGATAATGGTATCTACTTTATTAGGTTGTTGTGAATATCACCATTTGACCAATTTTTGAGTGTCTGCTATAGAGAGGGACTTTTTGAAGGTGCTGGGATAGGGTGGTGAATAAAACAGCTCTAGTTCCTGTTCTTAAAAATCCGATAGTATAGCAGGAAGAAAAAGAATAACAAATTTACAGACAAATACATATGCAGTTAAGACTTAAGTATTATGAAGGAAAGGAACAGGATGCAGTTGTAGAGGGTAAGGAGGACTTTTAGAGAGGGCAGTACTTTCAGCAGTGTTGTCAAGACAGTCTTTCTGAGGAGGTGACATTTAAGCTGAGACCTAATGGATAAGAAGGAGCAAAATATGAAAAGATAACCTAAAAAAATTTCCCCAAAGTCCATCTGAATCAGAGTAGGTATTTGATTAAAGATAGTTATAGTTATTTTTGGCTATTATATGCCTAGCACTAGGATCTGCTTTATGGGGACACAATAGCATCCGTTACCTGACACTCAAGGGCCTCCATAACCTTTCTCTTGTCTCAAGGCGTAGGTGTGTTGTGGCCCCACACATATAAGGGAGGTCCATCATGGATCGATGGCAGGCACTGATCTGGTTCTTTGTAGCAGGGATTTATTTTGCTGGACTCTCCTTAGCCAGGGTCTTTTTTTTCTTGAGACAAAGTCTTGCTCTGTCGCCCAGGCTGGAGTGCAGTGGCACAATCTCAGCTCACTGCAACCTCTGCAACTTGGGTTCAAGCCATTCTCTTGCCTCAGCCTCCAGAATAGGTGGGATTACAGGTGCCTGCCACCACGCCCGGCTATTTTTTTTAATTTTTATCTTTTTGTATTTTTAGTGGAGACGAGGTTTCACCATGTTGGCCAGGCTAATTTCGAACTCCTGACCTCAGGTGATCCATCTGCCTCAGCCTCCCAAAGTGCTGGGATTACAGGCATGAGCCACCATGCCTGGCCCAGGATCTTTTTTTTTTTTTTTTTTTTTTGAGACAGAGTCTCGCTCTGTTGCCCAGGCTGGAGCGCAGTGGCATGATCTCAGCTCACTGCAACCTTGCCTGGGCCAGTGTCTTTTTATAGTATCCAAGGTTTCTCCTTTCTCTACAGTAATAATGATGTCAGATAACTATTCCTAAGATGTTTGGTCCCTGTGCCTTGAGTCATGCTGTTTTCTCTTTCTATCAAACCAGTCCAGCTCATTCCTGAAGCATTTCTGAAGCTGAATAGGAACGTGCTTCCTCCTCTGAATCACTGAAGTACAGTACCTATCCCAATGTACTTTAGTTTGCCTTAACTTACTTTTTGTTGTATTTGTTTAATTTCTTCTACTGGATTATAATTCCCCTGAGTAGACAGTATTTGTCTAACTATCTTAGAGTGCTGAGAAGAGTGTGTGGCTCAGACTATGGGTGTAATTCAGTTGACACATGGTGCATGCCTATAAGGATATTCTGAGAGTGACAAAGTTAAGACAGACATCAGACGTAATTAGTAAACACACATATTACACAGTTCCATATTATATATGAATGTAAAACATTCAGATAAGGAATATGAGGCAAGTATGTACCAATTAACCTCTCTTTATTTTCTCCACACCGCAAGCACCATTCACTCATCGTTTACCTCAGCAAGCACAAAACATATGTGTAAGATAACTATTTTCCTTGGCTTTCTTAGTGTACATGGTGGTAATACATATAACCAAAGGAGTAGGGTGGGATATATACCATAAAAATGGCTAATATTATTTTTCTCATTATTTTTGCTATAAAAGACAATTAACACAGTCTTAAATGTGGTTTTCCGGTCCCCAATGTCTTTGTCCGAAAAATGGGGGTATTGTTTCCCACCTTGATCTTATTTCCAACATCAGAAAATGAATTTGTTATGCCTTCCTCAGTACATGGTGATGGTTAAGAGTAGAGGCGTTTTTATTATCTTGCTATAATATAGAGAAGGTTGACTCAAAATATTCCTGCTATGCTGCTACAGTTATTTGGAGAGGAACATTTCTCACCCACAGGGATACAACTACATCACTGCATCAAATTGAAGGTGAACTCTGCAATGTGGCGGTGGCACTTCAAATAATATAGGCCATAAGGAGAAGAAGTTTTTAAAAAAACACAAAAATAAGGATTCCAATCTAGTATTTATAATTACATTTACTGGTCATATGAAATATGATATTTCATCCCCTGAAATGATATCACGTGTCACGTGAATTTCTGAAGAAACTGTCCTCTAAACAATTTTGTCTGCCTATACGTTTATGGATTTTTACCGCAAAGCTATGTCAAATATGAGCACTTAATTCAGAGCAAACACTATGTGCGTGTGTGTTTTTAAAGGCTTCTAAACCATATTAAATTTTCATTCATATAGGTACACAGAGACACATATTAAATAAACCTTCTACAAGAGTAACCCGTCCAGAAATGCAGCAAGAGGCTTCCAAAGGGCTAGATTTATTACAAATTAATCAAATAGGTAAGATGGATCATAATGGATATTCCAGCCAATGTAAACTGAGAGGAAAAGAAAAGCTCCGGCGGCAAGTCAAGAGCCAAATGTTTCTGTTTTGATTTATTTAGCATTTCCGAGATGTTTCTTCTGTGGGGAACAATATGCAAGGCATTGGAAATTCAGAAGGCACATCTTTTGTGTACCATAAAAATGTGCTGCTAACCTACAATACCCTTATAGAAATACAATTCAATAAGAAACTCAGTTGGGAAGATGTCTCAATAGAACAACATGAAAAAAATGGTCAATACAAGAATGATTCACTTTACTTTTACAAGGGATTTCGATGCTACGAATAGAAATGCCTTTGGAACTTATAAAATAAAATCCAGATAAACAGAGAGTCACATTTTTAATTCTTACACATCTCTAATGTGCCTTTTTTTTTTTTTTTTTTTAAAGCAGATCATCTCTCCAAATCATCACTTCTATCAAGCCTATCGCTTGAGCAGTGTTATAGCACTCAGCCCTCAGGGCAAAGATAAGTCTTCACCATTGTCACACGTAGCACACACATATTCAGCCATATCATGCTGAATGGGAATACAGGACTTTGTAGAAACAGAACTGATTCCTGCAGAATATCCTGAGATACTTATCAAGCTGTTAAAGGAGACATCAGTCTTTTGTCTGTATTGCCCTTGACACCTCCTCAAGGAAAGTATCTAGAAATTCTTTGTCTTCTGAAGAACCCTCAGACCTCTTAGGTCTAATGTAGGTTAAGTGCCCTGCAGATCTCCCTAGAATAGAAAAGCACCTTGAAAACTGTAGTCTGACTTAATAGACACAAATATAATGAAAGCACTAATTCATAAGATCCTGTTATTTGAAGGAAAAAGCAGCAAAAGGCACAAGCTTCAGATATTGGTCTTGCACAGGAAAAAGCTGGAATTCTACCCTAAAATTTATCAGATACAACAATGACCTCTAAAAATCCAACAAGGGTAAAATGTATAAAGGTAAATTACCACATTATCATCCGATTATCATTGCTTGTTTTGTCAAGGGTAAATGACTATCTAGCAGCATTCAGCGTTTGCTTATTGATTAATGCGTACAGTACCAGCACCTCTCTGCACAGCGGTCCTCGCCTTGCCTCCCACTCAACAGCTGTGTTGAAACTGACCATTTTATTACAGGTTGCAGGCTGTGTATAATTCTCCTTGCCCATTTTAGAGGCATTAAATGAAAACGGATAAATTATTAGAGATTACTGGGCACTGCAAAAGAAATAATTGTGTTGTTTTTATTCCTGAAAATACAGAAAAATCACTGTGTTTAACTGTTGTCATAATTGAAATTTGATTCCATTCACAAACTCAAAACGGCACTTTTATTGCTTCTCCATCTCTCCTGCCCATTTCATTCTCAACATCATCTGACAGAACTTTATACAAATCTCCTAAGGACAAACATTTCCAGTTTCACTTTTTTTCTTCCCCCAGATAAATCACAGTAAATGTGGTGTTCTTATTTCATCTCAGATTTAAAAAAAAGAAAACAAACCTCCCTCAGCAGATGAAACAAAACAACCAAACTCAGACAGCAAAGAGGCACACACAACATCTGAGATTAATAGACCCTATTTCGTCTCAAAGCGCTTTCTTGATATAAACAATACATAAGGGTCACCCCACACACCACTGAAACGTAGCCTCCTCTGAGGCACAGAAACTATATAACCCGGAGAAACACTCACTCCTTCTTGAGGGCAAGGGGAAGCGACTTTTTGTACTGTGGTAGCTCAGAGCTTCACCCCGACCCAATATCCTTCAAAACTTCTGCTAGCTGAAGATGGAATAAAGCAACTGCTCTAGAACCCCTCTGGGTTCAGCAGATCAATCCAACAACTAATTAAACCAGAAGCAGGGGAAAGATGCCAGGAGGATAGATGATGGGTGGGGGTGAGGCTTCAGATCTGGCTGGGCCTCACCTCTCACTCCATATTCTCCCCGACAGTCTGGACACACCAAGGTAGGGTGAGATTCTGAGATGGGATCTGCTGGGCCCCTAACGTACCTCCCAAGGAGGTATCTGTGCAGCTCAGGGAAGGCACCTTGGGTCTCTCAGTGGAGAAAAATTAGTATTATCTGGGTTCAAACACAAATGTGGGTGTTTGTTATTTTAAAATGTACGGTCTGCTTAAAGGAATGACTAGGAATGTGAACGTGTGTTGTATTTGTGAGGAAGATGTGATAAGAAGCCATCCTAATCAACTTGCCAGGTACGTATATTTCAAGTACCTTACATCTCACTTAATCTGCCAATAACTTTACAAGCCATGTATCTGTACTGTTATTTCCACTTTACATATGCGCAGACCGAGGTTTGGAGAATTAATCTGTCCCACGTTACACAAATAATACGCAGCAAACCCTGATTTGGCACCCAGATGGCTCTGACTTCAAATCCCATGCTAGCTTCTTCTCCTGTTCTACCCATGAATGACATCAGGGGAAGCTGGCGAGACTTGGAATTACTTCCTAGATCTCTGGAAGGCAGGCAACTAATGTTTGAGTGTAATGAGAGCATAAGCAGAGTCCCAGGAAAAGTAAGAGGGAAGCAGAGGGGAAGCTGGGCACGAGAAGAGTAGGAAACAATCAGACAAAGCTCAGGGAGGGCTTGGGAGTTCTGAGATGGCAGACTAGGATACTGAGAAGTTTGATGAGAAGGATCAAAAGGGAAACTCGCACAAAAGGAGGGTAAAATCAAAGGATGCCAGCGAAACAGTTGAAACTGGTAAATCTGAGCTAAGAGAGCTGAGTAACTAGAAACTGTAACTGTGAGCTGCTTAAACTCTGTTCTCTACATTCTTTTGTCTGTGGTCAATGTCACTTGTATAGAGGGTTGTGTGTAACAAATAGGTACAAGAGTGGTATAGGTAGGGAGTCAGAAAGTCTACCAGGTTGGGACCAAGAGGATATAAGGGATTTATTCACTTAGTCATTAATTTACTCATTCATTCCTTTATTTATTAAAAATGTTTATCAAGAGTCTACTATTGGCTAGACCCTGAAAATAACAAATAAGACCACAATATAGCTCCTACCCTCCTGTTGATTCCACTGTGGTAGAGTGCATGGACAACTGTTCAATCCTTAACTGATTGTTCTAAGAAGGAGAAGTATTTGGGGAACACTAAAGAGAGGCCCCCAACTCTGTTAGGGTGAGGCTGGTCAGAGACTTGACTTGAGCCCTGACTAATATGTAGGAGTTAACTAGTGAGATGAAAGGGTGGAGGAAGGAGGATGTATTCCAGGTCAAGGAAATTTCATTTTTTGCAAAGGCATGGTAACATGCCAAAAAAAAAAAAAAAAAATCCTTGATGTCTGTTTATGTTGGTGTGAGTAGAAAGAGAGAACAGATATATTGCAGAGTGATGAGGCATTGCAATAAAGCAGACAGCTCTCTTTGCCTTTTTCTCTTGGAGTTGGAACTCTTGGTTGATCTCAAAGGAATGGAACAATGAGGGTAAGTCAGGCTCAAGGGTTATCTTGATGCACACTTACACAAGCAGCTCCATTTCTATTATCAGATTCAATTATTCACCCTGAAATTGAAAATCCTCCTTACCTTGCCATCCAACTAGAGGAACTGACTCCTATCTCTCCCACCCCCACCATGAGTTACCTCTCCTCTAGCTGTTTACCTCCAGGGCCTCTGCATCAATTTATGAGCAACCCATCTCAAAATCTCCCATCTCAACAAGGCTCCCCCGCTGCCTGAGCTACCTGCATCCTCTTAGCATGCTTGTACTGAATATACAGTGAACTTAATTGGTATTTGATATGTCATAGCATGAAAGCATTCTTCAGCCATTTCATTTATTACTCTTCAAGTTAGTCATATCATCTTTTGCTGTCAGTCAAGAATTGTTTCATCTGGTTTTACCTTGTAGTCTCTGGTACGTGGTGGATGTTCGGAAGCTGCTTGGGTCTGGCAGGAGGGCACCTATATTGGTTCAGGGAGGGTGCTGGGGAGAGCCGAGGATTTGGAATCAGATTTGTTCAATATGTTACTCATTTACTGAGCACCTATTGCATGCCAGGTGCTGTGCTATATGCTAGAAATGAAAAGGTCAATGGAAAATAAACAGCTTCTCTGAGTAACAGGTGCTCACAGTAAGGCCTGGGGGCGGGAACTAGATGGGCAAATATGTAAGTATGTAACGGTGATTTAATATGGTAAATGTGCTAAGAGACCTGAGCCCTAGGTGCTGCGGGGCATGACGAAAGCACAAAGAAGGAGTGAGGAGCTAAAAGGACAGGACCAAGAGGCTGTCAGAACTTTTCCTAAATAAAATGATGCCTGAGTTGAACCTTTAGAGAGAAGCTTTACAGGTGTGGGAGAAGAAACAGCCTAAGCAAAGGACCTGAAGCATAAAACAGCAATACACCCATGAGAAACTCCTTCCCCCTACAGCTCCATTGCTATATTGTCAGGCAATTCCCTCAAACTCCTAGATTCTATAACTCCAGGATGTTGCAAAGATCTAATGACATAACTCAAATGAAAGCCATGTTGTAAACTGTAGAGCACCATGTAAATGTAATGTATGTCATGACATTTCGACAGTTTTTTGGTGAATAGGGTGTAGACTTCAGGAAATGTCTGAGCAATTGAACTGAGCCTGTTTGCCAGAGGTTGATGACCCGTGCTTTAGGACAAGCAGAGAAGAACCCACCGGAAATCCAACTAAGATAAGCGAACTACAATCACCTGATTTAGAAGTTGGCCAGTATCATGAACATTAGTGTGTTTGTTTACTCTGTCAAAACCACTGGGGGTTTTCAGTGAATATAGGATGCCAATAGTGAATACCTAATCCAAGAAGCCACAGCATTTCCTCCATCAACCATGTCAGAACTGTTTAATATTTATTTGCTACTTCCTTTATATACAGCCTGTTCATCTGCCTCAGTAGATCGTAAACTAATCCCATGCTGGGAGACCAAGATCTAGATACAGAATGCAGAGGGATGAGTTTAGAGAAGGGAGAAATTTCTTCCCCCAGCCATTGGCCACTTTACCTATGCAGTCCCCATGATAAAACTCCAAAGGCCAGGCAGGGCAGGGCAATTGGTAAGACTCCATAGGAATGCTTTATGAGAATTCTTATCTTCATCATCATCATCATCACCATCATTATCACGACCACCATCGCAATTTTTACATAATATTATTGAGAGCTCACCAGGTCCTAAGATCCACTTAAAGGGCTTTGCATAGATACAGATTTAATATGCACAGTAACTCCAATGAGGTGCTTATTATCATCAGCCCCACTTTCAGGATAAGGAACTGAGGGTCAGAGAGGTTATAGAACTTGCCCTAGGGCATGCAGCTATTAGATGGTCAAGCTGGGATCTGAAGCTAGATAGTCTGACTCTGGTTCTCCACTCTCTACACTTAGTTATATTTTCCTCGTACTAGGGGAAAGAATCACGTAGCTACGATCTATTCCACAGTATGTAATTTCATCAGGAAGATGAGGAGGGAACAGAAAAACTTGTATTTACAAGTGGTAGAAGAATGAAAACAGACTAAGCAAGTAAAGAATGCTCCCTTTTTAAATCTAAAAGCCTCCCTTGAAACCCCTCCTTGAAAGGAAAGAGGAAGTATTTACCTGAAAGATTTTCTAATTCTCTATCTCACTTTATGATCTTAAGTTTAGTACCAGAGGAAAGTAAAACACAGAGGCTCTGGAGATAAAAGACTTGTGTCAAATTCTAGCTTTCCCACTGACTGCTATGATTAGCTGTGTAACCTTAGGCAAAGGTGCTTAATTTAGTTTACTCATCTGTAAAATGGGCTTTATAAATACCTATTTAGTATACTTAGCAGAGATGCTATGAGGGTTAAGAGTGTGTGCATGTATGTGCATGTGTGCGGACGTGTTCTATCTTACCTCATAGAAAGTGTTAAATAGGGCTTAGCTACCATTGTTATTCAATTTTCTTTGTGTTTAGCATGCAGTAATGCATCCATGTCGGTTACTAAACAATAATGTTCTTAACATGCTATACCAGTCTTTGGGGACATGTGAATAAAGTACAAAGTTGTTTAAAAGCAGAAAGAGGAAAAGAGATCGTAAAGGTGTTAAGAGGGACAAGATCCATGAAGAGCAATAAATTCTGGAAAAGTTTCTAGAAGGGGCTTACAAGCAGTGGTGTCCAGTGCTGTTGAGTGGTTAAGAACAACAGAGTAATGCAAAAAGTATGACTGTATTCCGTGAGTTGGAAGAATTGTCTAATGCAGGGATCAGCAACCTTTTCCTGTAAAGGACCAGATAGTGAATATTTTAGGATTCGTGGGCGATATGCTCTGTCCAGCTTCACAACTCTGCTGTTGTAGAGTGAAAGCGGCACAGACAATACTTACACAAATGGGTATGGCTGAGTTTCAATGAAACTTTATTTGCAAAACAGGCAGCAGGCCAGATTTGGCTGGTGGGAGTTACAGGTCATAAACCCTTGGTCTAAGAGAAGTCTCATTAATAACTGCCATTAATAAGTGTTTTAGTAGCAAGTATGGGAATGATTTTCTATATATACATGCATATATATTTATGAATGTAAATATGCCCATTCAAAATAACCCTCATGATAATGCCACTCTTACTCATTCTTATTCCATGTATTTTCTTGAGTGGAATGAGAAGGGAGATGAAGTTGTAACTGGAATGCTGGGAATTGTAGGTATCCCTGAATATAACCTAGGGGTATGAAGTGAGTGTGGAAGTAGCCATGCTATGTGTTTGTGTGTGCACACACATGCATGTTACAGCTGAAAAAATATGAGAATAATTGGCTCGACAGAGCCAGAACTAAACTAAAAATGAAGACACCTGGATTCTGGTCACAGATTCGCTGTGTAACATTGGGCAAGTCATAATCTCTGTGCCTCAGTTTCTTCCATATAAAATGGGGTTAGACTAAATACGAAGTCCCTTTTAGTCCCAAACATCTATGATTCTAAAATACTGTGCAAAAGGACATTAACTGTTGGGCACTTAATTTATTCTACAGTATTTTCTACAGATGATTTAGGAGACTGAATTGAGTCAACTAGAACTGTCATGATTTTAATTGGATTAAAAATGACTTTAATGGGTAATTTATCCAGTAGTTTATAATAATCATATAATGAAATAATCACAGGTATGTCAGTTCAATCTTAAAGGTTTTTATGACAGAGTAGCAAGTGTTTAGGATAAGGTACAGTACGATCTTTTAGTTATTTGACAGAGTTTTATTTCATGATATAATTTCTTTCTTTCATGTTCTAATTTCAAATTCAATTTGTTAAATTTTGTGGAACCTTCTTGACGAGATTAGATAAGATTAAATTATTTTTAACTTCTCAGGAGATTTTGCTTCCTCATCAACTTACTTATGCCTTTTTAGGAGAAGAATATTCACCAAGGGAAGCAACGCAACCAATTTGGGCATCACAATCGTCTTGGTAAAGGTTATATATCCAAATCAGTCTAAGTGCAAAGCAGGAATAACTGGATGGCCCTTATCTGTGACTCAGATAACCTCACTTGGTGAGAGGCTGGAAACTTAGAGTGTACACTGTTTATCTACTTGAGAGGGATAGGAGGTTGGATTTAGAGACAAAGAGGTGTGGGACAAGCTGCCCTGTCTATGTGCAACTCCGTTGACAAGGCACTATTCCTTATACCATGGGTTGCCTCTGCACACCTTCAGACTGACCCGGAGCCCCTTGTTAATTCAATTCTGAGCATCTCCTGAGTTGAAGCAGACAATAATGCAGACATGGACAAAATTGTACTGCAATTGTGTGAGTGAACTCATGTCCAAGGGGGATTATGCTGAGACCACCAAACTCATTTCACTTGTGACCTAATCATCTCTCAAACTGGCCCCCGGTGGATATGAATATATTAGGAGGAAGAATTATTAAACAATTACTCTTGCGCCTGGGGTACATGCTTTTTAGCAAGCCTGGGCATGCAAGTCTTCTCCTCCAACTTCTTCTAACCACCTCACCCCTCTCAAACCTTTCTCCCCCATGGGGAAAAAATACATTCATCGCGGCTAGTAAAAAGAGTGACTTTTTATAACAAGTCCCCACAAATCCAGAGCGTGAGCTTTTTCTTTGTCAAAAAAACTCTGCAGCAAATCATAGGAGTCAAGAAGGAAAAAAACACTTGCCCATTCAGCTTGAATTTGTATTAAACTCTTCATTCATGAGAACATAATCCTTCTTACTCCCTTGGAAGGTGGCAGAGTTTAATAGATTGGAATGATGGAAAGACCTGGCTTTAAATCCTGGCTTTACCACTTCGTAGCTGTGTGAACTTGGGCAAGTTACTTGACCTCCCTAAGGTGCAGCTCTATTTTTACAGGATGGAAATAATAACAGTACTTATTAACATTATATAATTATGGAACCAATACCTACTGTACTCAAAGGCTGGCTGTGACAATTAATAGACAACAAATCATACAAGGTGCTTAGCAAAGTGCCTGACACATAAGGACTTAATAAATCATCACTTTTATTATTGTGGTGGTGTTAGTGTGACAGTCTTATAACAGAATTCTAATTTGTTACCAAGAAGAGTACTACAGATAACTATGTGTACAGTGTTCACTAGAATATATATGTTCATTAGAATCTGATCAATCCACTGTCTGTGACCTTAGCTCATGAGTATTGGAATGAAAAAATTTTTGTCAACTTCATGTTAAACCACATGACAAAAATACTTACCTAGTCTAGGCACTACATGGCTAGGTGCCCCACAACCCTTCTGTCAATGAGTGAACGGTCCTAACGTCTCCTTTTTAAAGTTCTGTCATCCACCAATGACAAAAACAGTTATGCTAAGGATATTGGCTTTTCATCCACTGAATTCGAGGTAAAACTTCTTATTGCTGGAGAAAGAGCATCAAAATTGCAAACACATTGGGGGTTACCAACTAACTTCCTTTTCATAAGAACCTACCTTGAAATTAATTTTCAAAACCTTCTAAATTTAGAAATGGCACTTTAAAAATATACAGTGATATAAAAGTCACTGAAGTGTATTTTTTCTCTCATCTGTAAAATAAGAAGTCTAAATCAGATGTTCTTTAAGGTTGGTTCCATCTTTATATCTACATAGAGAGTTCCACATCTACGAGAAATAAATTCCTTGCCAAGCCACAGAGGCTATGGAAAATGCAGGCATGTTTGTTTCTGACCTTGCCACAGAAGAAACCAGAAGTTCTACAAAGAGAGAAATACTTAGTACACACAGAGGCACACCAGAATGCAAACCCCACATCAAAATGCTGCTAGAGTTCATAACTCAAATTTCTTTATCCTGTAGCTGCTCAGGGACCCCATTAAATTGTTTTCCACAAATGCCATGAGGTTTGAACCATTTGTTATAACATTTGAGTCATTTATAAGATATTTTGATCTGACAAATCTGGAAGTAGCTGTCTAAAGTAAAATACGTGACTAATGTCAGCTTCTTCTTGTTTCAGATCAAAGCAGGGAACACTGTAAAGTCCTACAAAACTTTTCTCGGGTGTTGAATGGATTTCTTCACTTCTGTGAGTTGGCAGGAAAACAACATGCCATGTCACAGACTATGCTGACCTCAATGGGCGAAAAAAAAAGATGTTCTACAAATTTGATGTGGAGAAGTATTTACAAACACACTGAGCCAACTAGCTTGGATCCAAGATTAAAAATTAGTATGATATTAAAAATGCTATGAACAAACGCAAATTAACATAGGAAAAAAGATTCAGTCTAGTTTTTCTTTAAGCTTGTGCTGTTCATCTATGGCAGAGGCATTCTTTCTGTCACCATGGCAATGGACAAGCTAATAAAAAAGTGCAAGACTGTTCAAAATTGGTTCCTATATAGAGTGGTGCTACTCAACCCATGCTGTGTGGACCAGCAGCAGAAGCTGGAAGCTTGACTAGCCACATCCTAGACCTAAAGGAATCAGAATTTCTCCAAGTAAGATTCAGCAATGGAGTTTAAACAAGGCCTCCAAGGTGATTCTGATGCATGCTAATGTTTGAGCCACACTGAAGTAGAATGCTACAAAACCAAAAATACCTGCTATCATAGTAAATGTCCCATGGAAAAAAAATTCATTCTTTCTATACAAGGACAAGTAGTCTTGCTACCAAAGCACATACTTCCATTCTTTGTCCCTTCTTAAGTTCAGGAGCTTCATTTATTTCCCATAAAATTCTTGGCAGAGTTCACTGCCTACCAGTGAGCAGGATTCTGTTTATTTTAATTAAGTCTTTATCTATCACATTCTTTTAATTCACAAGAAACTAGTGGCTGTCATCTATCTAACCACCAAAGAGGATACAACAGCGCGGCCACATGCCAAAAATGTCACCAAATGTACCTTTTGAAATAAAGGTAATTTTTGTGCTGTTTTATATCCTTCGATCTTGTTTAGAAATTTGGCCCTTTCTCTTTATTGATTAAATTGTAATTTTTCTAAAACAGTTCATAATTGAATTGTCTGGTGAAACCTGCCGAAAGGGATCAAAAGTGATGGAAATAAAAATAGGAAGTTGTATAATGTATAATACAAATGATTTGGTTGCTGAGGTTTTAATCAAATCAAACAGAGCCATAAAATAACAGGTGATTGAATTACATGGAAAGATAATGCATTTGGATTTGAAGAGTCTGATGCGTTTCTGCAAAGTCTGTTGAATTCACAACTGTGCCATCTGCATCTCCCTTGGGAGATCTTGCTCTCAGAGGATTTCCCCCAACACAAGGCACCTGAACGCTGTGCTGAAAACTTTCTTCTTGAAGAAAAATAACATTCAAAAAGTAAAAGAACTATGAAACTAGGAGTTTCTGGTAAATTATCCACTCAACACCAGCTTAAAACAACACAAGCACTCTCAGAATTACTGGAGGTACCCACCTAAGAAATTGCTCAGGTAAGAGCTGAAAGCTCATTAACCCCCTCTACCTATGCCTAAGTGACCACTGAAAAACATAAAGGAAAAAAGATCATTCAACATGTTGGTAAAGAAGAACACATAAAGCATCAGTCATTTGCCTGAGGGGGTACGTTTTGCCTTGCAACTTTCTAAATATCTTAATAACACTCTACAAACCTACACCATGCATCCACATTCACCTTAGAAGGGGAAAGCGGTAGTTCTCCAGTAAGCACACGTTATATAAAAAGTCAATGTAAGAATTTAGTGTAACGCACTACACCTGAAAAGCTTAAAATCTTCCAACACGCAGAAAATGCAAACTTTTCTTTCCTCATCCATGGCTTTCAGAAACAGCCAATGGCATTATTAACACCTTACCCATGTATTATTTTGAGAAAATGAATTCCTTACAACATAATGCTGTTAACTCATGCTTGTGAGGAATTGTATGTCCTTTTCAAAGTTATTGTGGCTACCTAGGCAAGGCCAGTCCCCCCTCCACCCACCCTGGGAACTGGAAGTGATTTAATTTATCACTCTAGGAAGAAGGAGGGAACTTTTGGCTACTGAACTTTCCAGACAACCTCTGAATCATAGCAGCGATTGTGAAAGCGCTAGTGAGAAATAGAAGCCTGAATTCCTTTCCTGGGGTCTGGTTTTGATGGATGTGGAGGCCCCTAAAGGGTGGTGAGACAAGGTTTAAGCAAACACATTTTAGGGCACAGATTTTGAAAATTGAGTACCGCTGTCCCACCTGCTGTGCTTCATTTCAGTATCCACAGCTGTCATTAGCAGAGAACAAACTGCTTTTCCAACCACACACCACATCGCACTGCTCCAGCTCGCACTGGAAATTGCAAGACCGTTATGGAGGAGCATGTCCTGAGAGCTCTCCTCCTTTGTCAGACCTCTGATTTTTATTATCCCGGGGCGTGCTGGGGGAGGGGAAACAAAAAGTGTGCATGCACATAGGTTCAGGATATAAAAGCTTTGGAGGGTAGACTTTAGATTTGATGCTAGGTTCCCCGTTTAAAAATAAGTGTACAGGCCAGCTCAGGAATCACAACAACTCTTAAGTTGAATTTGGCACAAAAGAGATTCTAATGACAAAGTCATAAACATAGTCTGATAGCGTCTATCTATATAGGCTCTATGGACTAAAGAGTCATAAAGAGCTTTCAGAAGTCATGCCCTAATTTCATGGTTAAGGCAGGTTTCCCGACATTAGTTCAGTGATCTTGCCAGTACACTGAAGACCAGAGTAACTGGACTTGTTACTCTTTCCTTCCAAGTACCTAGTGAATTACGCAAGGCCCCAAGGAAGTCCCACCTCCTCCTCCAGGTCTCCTTAACTGAGCCTAATGCACACCCTCAGTCATTCCAGTCTGAATCTCTAGGTCAGAAAATCCACATAATGAAGGATTTAATTATATAGTCATTTGTACAAGAAAGAACTAGAAGAGAAGGGTGCAGAGGACAGTGAGATTAAAATTAAGATCCAGGTCTTAGATCTGTCTGCTTTCAAGTAGCTACTGGATCAGGGCAAGTCATTTTGTATTTCTGGGTCCTCAGCTTTTTCATCTGTAAAATGGAATAGAGGAGAAGAGAAAGAGTAGGTCAAATATTTGCTCAACTCCTTTATAGCGCTTAGATTCTCTTCTGTTCTTGCCCTAGAAAAGTTCATAATCTGTATGGCAGAATCACATATTAAAATGTAACAAGTTGAATAAAAACAAAGGAGTCATCAGTGTAATATGATTTGCCAAGCGATAACACAAAGCAATATATGATCAAGAATCAATTATAACAACAGAAATCATAATGCTAATAATACCACCCCCTTAAGACTATTGAATCCTCTTACTTACATATAGGATATAGTCTCAGGTAAAAAAAAAAAAAGTAGTTGGATAACCTTTAAAGGTTATATTGAGTAGAACCACACCTTTCTTGAGAAGGACAAACAGGCCACCACCCTCTGAAACAGTAAAATCACTCTTAGAGCATGAACAGAGACCTCATGCCAGAGACCGCAGGGCAGCTAAGGGCTCCCATGGGCCTGTCAGGGGATGAAGGCTCAGGGGTGAGAGTGATGTCAAAGTCTGGTCATTCCCACGCTCATTCTACTCCTCTGACCCCATCTAGATGTGAATGTTTTCTTTTCTCAGCTATACCACAGTTAAGGGAGGCCTAGGAAATTGTGTGGGGTCATGAAAACAATCAAGTACACTTTAAAAATGATCATATATACTCTCACACGGGCAGTAAGAGTGTTACCTGGCTCTCTCCTTCCTGGCTGTAAGCAGCTTCTGTTTACTGATTCCCTCTGAGGATAATGGAGGATGACAGCCAACCAGGCGTTTGTGTGAGCCCTGTGTGTGGTTGGCTTCCTGGATGCTAAGAACTCACCCCAGAGTTATTTGCACTTTTCAGAGAAAGAGAAGGTTACTTTCTGGAGTCTTTTGGATTTACATGGTGTAAAACAGCAAGTTCAATAAATCTGGTTTTGGCTGGCTATCTATCCCTCCTCAAACTTACATCTTCGTACTTAGTATCCCCCTAAGCCCCCTTTTCGGCATTGCTTCACTGCTTCATAGTGCTGAGGAAAATCCAGGCTTCACCTCTTCAGGCATTTGGTAATGCATCTGGAAGGCGTGATTTGTCACGTAATTATAAGAACAGATATGATTTTGTTCTGAATTAAACAGCAAGCAGTGTGTGTGCAGTTGGCTCCTTTGCCCAAGCAAACTGCTTGTAAATTTTATTCTGCTTTGACTGGGAAGGTTTCTCTGCTGGTTTTGCCATAACATAGGAAACATGGAAACCTGAATGCGGGCTGCTTTTTCCTGGAGAAACAATGGCAATATTATTTGCTATGGAGACTAGGAGATTGAATGGCACCTTAGCAAACTTTTCCATGGCAAGTTGAGTGCTCTCATGGAAGAGTCCCTTGGCAGCAACTTGAGCCTCTCAGCGTCTTGATGAGGGTAGGGGGAGTAGGAAGGAGAGGCTTAGTCTTAAAAAAATGACAGAGACACACCCACATATACCCACATCCACATTAAAGATGGAAACTAATCGCACATCAAAACCAGAAAGTGCTTATGTGTGTGTACCATGAACAAGCAAAGAGAAAGTACAAAAACACAGACTCCAAACCAGAAGTAAAAGAGAACAGCATTGTCAGAGAAAAATTAACTCTTGATATTTATTAGACAAAGAAATTTAGCAAGAATGTTTTGCAAACAGAACTCGATAATTTGAATTCTGTAAAATTAGATAGAAATTCCATGTTCCATGGTCAGGGCACATTTCAGAATGAGGGAGAACAGTAGGCTAAAACTGAATTGGAATTCCATTTGAAAATGAAAATTTTCAAAGCCTCTTTCTACTAGTTATATAATAAAAAGAATAACCTTACTATGCTTGGGAAAGAACAACAATGAACAATTCAGAGAACAAAATACAAGGAGGGTGTGGGCAAACATCTTCAGGATCAAAAAGACTGAAAAGATCAAGCAGGTTTCAAAGGCCACAAATAAACAGACATAAAACTCTTTTTTACTTGAATGTCCTGCTGTTTTACTTCCTGCACAAGATGGCAGTCTAAGGTATTTATTTCTATTTCTATTTGATCACAAATAGATATTACTAGAAACATAAAGGAAAACAGCAGCAAATTCTGAGACGAGACATTTCTCCTCCATTAACTTCTCTCCGGTAACCAAAAAACTGCATTCTATCCTTACGTTCTCTACTTGGGCTAACATCCCAAATATATCAGAAATATCCTTAGATCTTTGGGTTGGGGTGTGACAAACTCCACATGCTCATTACATTCTACAAAATGAACATCATAGTCCATCACCCACAACATTTCATGTGTTGAAGTAGAGATGGCTCTTTTACGTCACTCCTCATGGAGCAATACAATTTTTTTTTTTCCAATCTGAGTTTATTGTTGATCTCCTTTGGCCTGATTAAAACTTAAAAGCTAATAGTTGGATTCAAAATGTTCAATGATTCAAAAGTTTACAATTGAATAGGAGGAAATTTTAAAAGTCAAGAAGGAGTGAAATAAGACCTTCAGCAGTACGGAGAAAAATAAATAGAAAACATACAAATTCCTACTTCAAGTGTGGGGAATTAGGGGGGAGACTGTCTTCCTACACAGTAATCTACCTAGACCTGAATTTTTATTCCCTTGTGATATGCACAACAAGATAGTCAATAAATATTTAATGCTTATGATAATCACAATAAAGAGTTAACTGGATCATAGCCTATGGCTTCTGGCTGTCTACCATACACTAACATTGTCTACAAAGATCTCTTATAATCATATCAATACAAAATTTGTGGATTTATTTCGTAGAAGATGGTTTGGATGGAAAAATGTCAGACTGTGATGTTGTAACCAGCATATAATTTGTTACCATTTAGTGGAGAGCATTTGACAATGTAAAAACAAACAAAAAATGAAAACAACAATACATGTAAATATGAGATACAAGGAAGGAGTCTCCTTTTAATCCTTCCATTTAATCACTTGGATAGTATCTTTCACTTATATATGGGCAGCATTGCAAATTGCAGAAAGTCATATATTTATATACCTTTAAGGAAAGATACCTCCTGCTTCTGTAGTTAAGCTTTTATTCATTTAACAAATATTTACTGAGCACTTACTATATGCCAGGCTCTGTTCTAAGATTGTTTATTGAGCAATAAATAACACAGGCAAATATCCTTGCTTATAAAGCCCGTATTGTGTTTGAAGAGACAGATGACGAACAAGTAAATAAATGTATAGTATTTTGGCTGGCACTATGGGAAATGGTGAAAAATAAAGCGGGGTAAGGAGGAGGATAGGGAGTGGCAGGGTGGCATAGCAGGATAAGATAGAGTGTTGCTTGTTTATACTGAGAGGAAGGGAGTCTTATGTCATTTGAGGACTCGAAGAAAGAACGCGTGGATATGGGGCTGGAGGAAGTACTTCTGACAGAAAGAAAGGCGATGTAAAAGTCCTGAAGAAGAGTGAGCTTGGCATATTCCAACAAGGTCAGTGAGCCAGAGGAGGGCAGACAAGGGAGAGGGTGGTGGGAAGTGAAGTCAGAGAAGCAGCCTGGGAAGAGGGGAGATGGAGGCCAATCAGGAAGAATCTTGAAGGCCAATGGACATCAGGGCATTTGAATGCAACTGCCTATTGGTGTTCAACTGTGTATCTTTGACATGATGGTGATACGAAATAATTTCCCTAATTTGGAAAGTTCTGTTCTTTTTTTCCGGTTTTGAATAAATAAACAAATAAGACAAATACAGCTTGCTGATTTGACTATGGCTCAGTTATTTTTAATTTAATTTTTGGTAAGTAATTTTTAACCCATATACCAAAATTCCATTTGTGTGATAAGGGAGTGCAGATGGGCTCCTGAGGGATATGGAAATTAATCCCAGTTCTGCTGAAAGACCTTTTAATAACTCATATGTTATTTCAGCTCATGTGAATTTCCAGCAAGTGGGCTTTCTTCAAAACTTTCGAAGGAACATGTCTGTAGGGTATCAAAACAGAAATTGCTAAAGTTGGAATGAAGAAACTTGATTTTTTTCCCCTAGAGAGTGTACAACTTTTCTCCACTTTCTTCCATTAAAAATTCAACTGCCATCAATTGTGGACCTATTATGTGGCTATAATATTTATCTTGAGCTGCCAATTGAAATTATAAGATAAGTTCTTAGCTGTTAATAAATATTAAATCTCTATAGTCAATATTTTGCTGGCTGATATGTATTCTTGTTATTAACAAACTTTTGCCAAAAATACTGAGAATGCTCTGACCATGATATATACCTAAATAACTGCTGTGTGTATTAACTTGTTAACCTTGCCAAACTTCCACAATTTTTATTTAAAGTACTGAAGCAAATATTTGTCTAAAATACTCATTCAATTTACTTGAGAGAGACATAAATTATTGGCCGGTCTTTCCATATGTTCTCCCATTCATTTGAAGCATTTTCTCTCCCCATTTCTTTTGCCTAATTCCTATCTGTCTCCGTAGTTCTCAGCTGTCTTCCAAGTCTGGGTTACTGGGTGTTCCTCACGTAGAATCCCATAGCATGCTGGTCTTCTGCTATCATAGCAGTAATTGTAATTGCCAATTTACTTGTCTGTAACTTCCCCAAAGTCTCAAAACATCACCATAGCAGGGACTGTGTTTATTTTGCACCGTTTCCCTGACAGCCAGAAGAATTGCCAACACATAGTAGGTGCTGAATAAATATTTGCTTAAACCAGCCCTTAAAGATGCAACTCTGAATAGGGAACTGAAGAAAAATACATCAATTCATAAAATCTTCTACTTAAGTTTAACAATTTAATTCATTTAATTCTACTGCAAAAGGGCTGTTACCTTTTAAAATGGCCAGCCAATTTGAAATGCTACAAAGGGACTGTTAGAGAATTTCCATCCCATATGCCAAGGAAGCTAAAACCAGTTTGTTCTGCATATGATTAGAAATATAAAAGTCTTGGGAATCACATTTCTTAAAGCTCATGCCAGCTTTTATTGTTGGTAGTTTTGTAAACGCATTACATATTCTATGGTATTTGTGAAGTCCTCAAAGCACATGCAATATAAAACCTTCTGCTAAGCACAGTAACACACAACATAAGAAAAAAAGGCCTGGCAATGTAAGTCAGCTCACAGAGGAATTCAAGATGGTAGCCTGCTCAGTCCATGCTACATATAATTGGGTCCTCATGTATGATGAAGCATGGAACTTGAGATCCACTGGTAAGTCTCTCTGCTAAAAAGATTAGACTTGAAGTATTAGGTCTCTAAGCTTTTCTATACTTAATGTGTGGAAAATTCTGGAAGCAATGGCCAACACCCTATGTGCGGTGGGTGTCAGTAATTGTAGTTTTGCACTGATACTAATTTTTACAACACTTGGAATAATGTCTAGATAACATAACGTCTAGATAAGGTTGTTGTACATAGGACCTTTTCTAAAAATATTTAGTTATTCTTTCTACCAATTAGCTTTTAGCAGAGCAATTAATTCTTTACTATTGAGTTACGAATGTTTCCTTGTACACTAAATAAATTCTCCCCCTAAAGGGAAAAATGAAATGTAGAGTAAAAGGATAAACAAAGCAATGTAGGAAAAAGATTCGGTTGGGAGTAATTTTCTTCCTTCAGCTTTCCCTTCATCTGTTCTGGCAGGGGCTGGATTTTCCCCAAGTATCAAGTCATATTTCTTCTCATCAAGCTCTCTAGAACATGCAGTTTTTAATGAATTACATTTTTAATGAGGCTCAATAAACTATATATGAGAATATAAGGCTTTGCCCCATTGCCGTGCCATTTTTTTTTTGAAAGAAGCAAGAAATAGCACAATATGGCCTGGAGAAGCTCTGTGTTAACTGGATTATATAAAGCACACTGGCGCTGTGGAATCCAAAGGTATCACTCGGTTTCACCAATTACGGTCTTGCTATTTTCTTTTCTGATCACTTACTGAGCAACTACCACATGTAAACATGTTTTCATACATTATCTTCGTCCCTAAAACCATTCAATGGCATGAACATTATTATAGTCATTATAAGTATTTTGCCTCTGAGTTAGTAAGTGGTTCAACTGGCATGGGAACTCAAGCCATTTAGAATATATGACTAATATTAGAGTATTACATAGTGTGGAGTAGCAGCTACTACTATAATTGTTGATATTGTTATATATTCCAGTTAATGTCTCACTTATCTATTTAAGAAGACAAAGGCAATTACTTTTGGTTTTTGCATTGATATTTTTTTCTGCCATCATTTTATGTGTATTCCTGGTTATATTCTGATTACTGTAGAAATTTAACAAAGAATAAATCTCGAGAGAACTTAATACATGCCATTTTTTGAAGTAACTGCTTGAACTATACTCATGAAGAAAAGGCAACAAGGAGAGTAGAGTATAGATGGTATAGTTGCTGTGTGAGTGGCTGAGTTTGGAGTGTGTTAGATATTCTAGATCTGCAAGTTTCCATAAATCACTGAATGAAATGTTCTTACTTCAAGCAAGACCCAAAACATAGTGACTCAATCTGCAGTGCAGAGACGGATTGGTAAGAAATAGAAGCAGCTTTTATGGGTGGGGGACAGCTTGCAGTAAGTTATTAGGATAGACTGTAAGACAGAAGAGAAGGAAACTAGGAGAAGGTTTTAGCACATGATATTCTGAAGATTTAAGGAAAGAGGCTTGGAGATGGCGCAGCAGCAGTAAAGAGAAGAGATGGAGAAGATTACGTTGAAGAAGAAAAACAAAAATACTACTTCATAACAGGGGTAAGCAGAGGTGTAGAAACGAACCTATTTGGAGGAAGTTCTCTAGAAAGTAAGAACAGAATTTGGCTTTGCAATCATTTTATTTTGGGCAGAGAAAGAAAACACACGAAGTCAAAGATACAACTAAGACTACTTCACAAGTGAACAGAGAGCAGAAGTCGGGTCAGGACAGGGCTCTCCCCAACGAAGAGCAGCACAGGAGCTCATCTTTGGCTAACAGCAATGAGGATGATGGGTAAGAAGCTAGATGTAAATGCCAGGGCGCTAGCAGCATAGAAGGATCCTTCTCCACTGGGAGGAGAGAAGAAAAGGGGAGGAAAAAGCCAAAGTGTTAAAAAAAAAATGGGGGAGAGCCATAGAAAATGCACTTAAATTAGAGCTAGAAACAGAAAAAAAGAGGTGCTTTTCATAAATCACCCCACTGTTTTCACTAACCCCAGCTGCCATTTGCTTTTAATTTAGCAGACTTTCAGTGTATTCTACCTGGGGTGTTAAAATAAGTACAAAGATCATTTTTAATGCTGCTATAGATTTGGGAACCCATAAATAATATTTTATTTTCCTGTATTACCCTCAAGGCTTGAAATTAATTTTTGGATGGGGAGCAATTGGATGAATTAGATGAAATAATGATACTTGAGCTCATTAGAGGGTTTACTCACAGGGTCCTTTCCCTGAATAATGATTCACTTTTTATCTTAACGTATAAATGTGCTCCAGAGAAAGTTCCCAACGCAGTTATCTCTTTGTTTTGTGACATACAACTTCCTGAGACTGTGACACCTAGCACATGAAAGTCCAACACAGAAATTAGAAATCAACATCAGATCTCTTAAAGGAGGTCTTAGGAGAGCCTTTCTTCCCTGAGCTGCTGCAGGCTATACCTGCTGCTAAGGTTCAGAAGCAGCTCAGGACTGTTAACACCCTAGTCATGAACCTGAAATCTAGACACAGGAGCCGTTTTTGAAGGTAAAAAAAAAAAAAACAAATCCAGATTCTAGAAGGGAGACTAATATAAAACAAGAAATAGGAATCTGAAAGATTCTATTCAAAATATCTGATGAGAGAAAGCAGAGAGGGTAACAGGAAGGTTGCAACATGTTACTTTGTTGTGTATTATTGTTGTGAAGGAGAGTGGCCAATATTTAGTAGAATATATTATTACATAAAAATAAATTTTTAAAGTAAATGTTAAACATTAAGGAGAATAACAGATTTGGATTTCAAATCCACCTTTTAATACTACTGCCCCAATAGACAATAAATCAAACTATTTATAGATTATGCAAAATACCTATTACTGAGCTGTGCAGGCTACCACCATAAAGAGGGTATTGCTCCTTTTATTATTGACTTTAATCTTCAGATATACTCTGTTTTACTTTTTGTTTTCCTGCGTAAAGAAAACCTTCATTAAAATAGTGCCTAATAGAATGGATGGAGAGATGGGATATGTTTAGCACACACACTCTAATTTATATCATTTCTGTAAGGATTTATTTTCAAGGAAATATATTGATATGACTTCTGGTAGCTAACATTATTAGAATCACAAAAAATAATTTCTCTTGATGTAAATCAAAGAGAAAGACAACATCCTAAGTATGAATATTTTTTAAATAAACATTTTCTAAGGTTTTTATTTTATAAGTTGTTCCTAATTAGCAAGGAAGCCTATTCCCATCTTGTGGAATTTTTCTGTGTTGAATATTCTTTGGGCCAAGAGGCCAGTGATGACCCACCAGCTCTTACAACGGACTGCTGGCTTTTCTCTTTTCATCGGTGACATTTAAATCTAGTTTGGATTGCACTTAAAACATGTTTGGAGATCATATTCTACCAAAAACAACAAATTCTGCTTATGGTTACCCTGCCTGACAGGGATTTGCCTCAGAAAGTGAGAGCCCACAACTGAAGAGGTTTTGTTTTGTTTTGTTTTTTAAAGCTGATGTAACAAACATCCAAGCCAGACAAGAATCATATCTAAAGAAGTTTGCATAGTATTTCTGTGAATGAGGCCGTATTCTCCTCTGGTAACTCTTTTCTTGATGGAAAGAACAACAATAACAACAACTTGGTCCCGGAAAAAGTGCCTTCTGCTGGTCCAGATCATTTGGGTCATCTTCATGTTACTTAAAAACCACACCCGATTCATCTGTAGCAGCCTTCTAGATGGTTCCGCTGCACTGATCGGACTTGGGAAATCAGGCTAAGGGACTTCCTTGTTCCCCTTATCTTTTCCTCGGAGCATATAAACCTACTTTGAAAGACACCCCAGAGAGAAATTCATGTAGCTTTACCTTCAGAGAACTCCAGCTTCAAACTAAAAATGCCACTTCTTGGGATTCTTAAACTCCCAACCCCGCCCTTCCTAGCTTCAAAAAAATAAACCTCCCTTTACGTGGTATTGCATTTCTTAAAGAAAAATCCCAACAGAGACTCTGTGGGTTTGATTGGTTGTATATGGCTCAGTGATTGCTGGACACCAAATGGTTAGGTGCCTTCCTCAAACTCCCTTCCGTTTTTGTCTTCTCTAGGGTACTCTGACCCTAAAGCTACCGTTTCATAAGAAATCAGTGAGGAAGGGCAGTAACAATGGGGAGAACGTAAGAGAAATGCAATGAACCCTTGATTCCTTTATTTTCTTCCGTTCAGACTCCACAAGACAGAAACAAAACAAAGACTGGAGTTGCGCAGAGGAGAAAAAGAAACACAGACCAGGCATTCTTTTTCCTGTGCCTCACTGCGAGAAGGCTGCCAGAGATAAACAGTTGGAAATAGCGGGAAAGCAAGAAAAATGAGAAAGAAAGCATCCATACAACAGGAGCATCAGCAGGTTTCAGTGTGTGGGGCGCTGTTCAGCCTGCAAATATTGTTACTAATATCAGAGGGCTGGGCATCATCAGTAACCAATTAGAAGGTTTCTATTATAATTGTCCCATGGGCAAATGCTAGATTTAAGCAAGTTGGGAGGCACACCCAGATCAAAAACATGCTGATGTAGCT
Organism: Homo sapiens; assembly: GCF_000001405.40. NCBI lineage: Eukaryota > Metazoa > Chordata > Mammalia > Primates > Hominidae > Homo > Homo sapiens. The sequence continues at coordinate 33,499,609 of NC_000014.9, read as the reverse complement.
TCATGTGGTAGTTAGGCACAGGGTTATGGAGGATTTCCCAGACCTTGAGGTGTGCTGGAGCTTACAAGTGATCTCAGAATATTTTGCTGTCTTTCATCAGTTGGCTGAAGAAAGTATAAAGTATACTTATACTTTCTTTTGCCAAGATATCATTTCTAAGGAAATGATATCTTTAAGCACTGTGGGAAAATAGGGATCTAGACTCATTTTACGTTCTTTCTATTTGTTTTAAAAAAGGGTTTAAATCTTGAAATTTATCCTCTAGGATTTGAAGGGCATTCACAAAAGGAAGATAGGGTACTAACAGCTTACAAATTTAATATTTTATTTTCCTAGGGATTCATTTATAACATTAAACCAAAAGGTTCCCAACAGTCTCTGAGGTCTGATTCTGGAAAGGAATCAAGCCTGAACATGGTGCTCTTTTCGATAATATTTTTTGGAAAAATTAAATTTCTAACTAAGTTTTAACTAATTTATAGTCACTTGTTTCAGGGCTTTTCCTACAGTGTTAATGACTTGTGCTTAAAAGAAATTTTTTCCTGTGTAATCACACAACTTTCTTTTACCCATTACAGCCGTCTCTTTCATCTATAGGTCTATACACCCCCCTTCCCACCACACACACACACACACACACACACACACACACACACACACACACACACACACACTCTCTCTCTGTCTCTCTCTCTCATTCATTTAAAACTGCCCATCCCCAGATTTTAAAAATAAACCTTCCTTATGTGGTACTGCATGTCTTTCTTTTTTTAAAATTATACTTTAAGTTCTGGGATACGTGTGCGGAACATGCAAGTTTGTTACATAGGTATACACATGCCATGGTGCTTTGCTGCACCCATCAACCCATCATCTACATTAGGTATTTCTCCTAACCCCTTCCCTAGCCCCCCCATCCCCCAACAGGCCACAGTATGTGATGTTCCCCTCTGTGTCCATGTGTTCCCATTGTTCAACTCCCACTTACGAGTGAGAACATGCGGTGTTTGGTTTTTTGTTCCTGTGTTAGTTTGCTGAGAGTGATGGTTTCCAGCTTCATCCATGTCCCTGCAAAGGACATGAACTCATCCTTTTTATGGCTGCATAGTACTCCACGGTGTATATGTGCCACATTTTCTTTATCCAGTCTATCATTGATGGGCATTTGGGTTGGTTCCAAGACTTTGCTATTGTGAATAGTGCTGCAGTAAACATATGTGTGCATGTGTCTTTATAGCAGAATGATTTATAAGCCTTTGGGTATATACCCAGTAATGGGATTGCTGGCTCAAATTGTATTTCTGGTTCTAGGTCCTTGAAGAATCGCCACACTGTCTTCCACAATGGTGGAACTAATTTACACTCCCACCAACAGTGTAAAAGCATTCCTATTTCTCCACATCCTCTCCAGCATCTGTTGTCTGCTGACTTTTTAATGATCACCATTCTAAATGGTGGGAGATAGCATCTCATAGCAGTTTTGACTTGCATTTCTCTAATGACCAGTGATGATGAGCTTTTTTTCATATGTTTGTTGGCCACATAAAAGTCTTGTTTTGAGAAGTGTCTGTTCATATCCTTTGCCTACTTTTTGATGGGGTTGTTTTTTTCTTGTAAATTTGTTTAAATTCCTTATAGAATCTGGATATTAGCCCTTTGTCAGATGGATAGATTGCAAAAATTTTCTCCCATTCTGTAGGTTGCCTGTTCACTCTGACGGTCGTTTTGTTTGCTGTGTAGAGCTCTTTAGTTTAATTAGATCCCATTTGTCAATTTTGGCTTTTGTTGCCATTGCTTTTGGTGATTTAGTCATGAAGTCTGCCCATGCCTATGTCTTGAATGGTATTGCCTAGGTTTTCTTCTAGGGTTTTTATGATTTTAGGTCTTACATTTAAGTCTTTAAACCATCTTGAGTTAATTTTTGTATAAAGTGTAAGGAAGGGGTCCAGTTTCAGTTTTCTGCATATGGCTAGCCAGTTTTCTCAACACCATTTGTTATATAGGTAATCCTTTCCTCATGCTTGTTTTTGTCTGGTTTGTCAAAGATCAGATGGTTGTAGATGTGTGGTATTATTTCTGAGGCGTCTGTTCTGTTCCATTGGTCTATATATCTTTTTTGGTACCAGTACCATGCCGTTTTGGTTACTGTAGCCTTGTAGTATAGTTTGAAGTCAGGTAGCATGATGCCTCCAGCTTTGTTCTTTTTGCTTAGGATTGTCTTAGCTATATGGGCCCTTTTTTGGCTCCATATGAAATTTAAAGTAGTTTTTTCTAGTTCTGTGAGGAAAGAAAATGGTAGCTTGATGGGGATAGCACTGAATCTATAAATTACTTTGGGCAGTATGGCCATTTTCATGATATTGATTCTTCCTATCCACGAGCATGGAATGTTTTTCCATTTGTTTGTTTCCTCTCTTACTTTGTTGAACGGTGGTTTGTAGTTCTCCTTGAAGAGGTCCTTCACATCCCTTGTAAGTTGTATTCCTAGCTATTTTATTCTCTTTGTAGCAATTGTGAATGGGAGTTCACTCATGATTTGGCTCTCTGTTTGTCTGTTATTGGTGAATAGGAATGCTTGTGATTTTTGCACATTGATTTTGTATCCTGAGACTTTGCTGAAGTTGCTTATCAGTTTAGGGAGATTTTGGGCTGAGATGATGGGGTTTTCTAACTATACAATCATGTCATCTGTAAACAGACAATTTGACTTCCTCTCTTCCTATTGGAATAAACTTTCTTTCTTTCTCTTGCCTGACTGCCCTGGCCAGAACTTCCAATACTATGTTGAATAGGAGTGGTGAGAGAGGGCATCCTTGTCTTGTGCCAATTTTCTAAGGGAATGCTTCCAGCTTTTGCCCATTCAGCATGATACTGGCTGTCAGTTTGTCATCAATAGCTCTTATTATTTTGAGATACATTCCATCAAAACCTAGTTTATTGAGAGTTTTTAGCATGAAGGGTGTTGAATTTTATCGAAGGCCTTTTCTGCATCTATTGAGATAATCATGTGGTTTTTGTCACTGGTTATGTTTATGTGATGGATTACGTTTATTTATTTGAGTATGTTGAACCAGCCTTGCATCCCAGGGATGAAGCCGACTTGATTGTGGTGGATAAGCTTTTTGATGTGCTGCTGTATTCGGTTTGCCAGTATTTTATTGAGATTTTTGCATTGATGTTCATCAGGGATATTTTTGGCCTGAAATTTTCTTTTTTTGTTGTGTCTCTGCCAGGCTTTGGTATCAGGCTGATGCTGGCCTCATAAAATGAGTTAGGGTGGAGTCCCTCTTTTTCTATTGATTGGAATAGTTTCAGAAGGAATGGTACCAGCTCCTCTTTGTACCTCTGGTAGAATTTGGCTGTGAATCCATCCGGTCCTGGACTTTTTTTGGTTGGTAGGCTATTAATTACTGCCTCAATTTCAAAACTTGTTATCGGTCTATTCAGGGATTCGATTTCTTCCTGATTCAGTCTTGGGAGGGTGTATGTGTCCAGGAATCTATACATTTCTTCTAGATTTTCTAGTTTATTTGCATAGAGGTGTTTATTTTCTGATGGTAGTTTGTATTTCTGTGGGATTAGTGGTGATATTCCCCGTTATCATTTTTTATTGTGTCTATTTGATTCTCCTTTCTTTTCTTCTTTATTAGTCTGGCTAGCAGTCTATCTATTTTGTTAATCTTTTCAAAAAACCAGCTCCTGGATTCATTGATTTTTTTGAAGGGATTTTTGGGTCTCTGTCTCCTTCTAGGCTCAAAATAAAGTGACGGAGGAATATTTACCAAGCAAATGGAAAGCAAAATAAAGTAGAGGTTGCAATCCTAGTCTCTGATAAAACAGACGTTAAACAAACAAAGATTAAAAAAAAGACAAAGAAGGGCATTACATAATGGTAAAGGGATCAACACAACAAGAAGAGCTAACTATCCTAAATATATATGCACCTAACACAGTAGTACCCAGATTCATAAAGCAAGTTCTTAAAGACCTACAATGAGACTTAGACTCCCACGCAATAATAGTGGGAGAATTTAACACCCCACTGTCAATTTTAGACAGATCAATGAGTCAGAAAATTAACAAGGATATTCAAGACTTGAACTCAGCTCTGGACCAAGAGGATCTAGTAGACATCTACAGAACTCTCCACCACAAATCAAGAGAATATACATTCTTCTCAGCATCACATCACAGTTACTCTAAAATTGACCACATAATTGGAACTAAAACACTCTTCAGCAAACGCAAATGAATGGAAATCATAACAGTCTCTCAGACCACAGTGCAATCAAATTAGAACTCAGGATTAAGAAACTCATTCAAAACCGCACAACTACACGGAAAACTGAACAACCTGCTCCTGCTCCTTTACTGGGTAAATAATGAAATTAAGGCAGAAATAAAGAAGTTCTTTGAAACCAGTGAGAACAAAGACACAATGTACCAGAATCTCTGGGATACAGCTAAAGCAGTATTTAGAGGGAAATTTATAGCACCAAATGCCCACAGGACAAAGCAGGAAAGATCTAAAATCGATGCCCTAACACCACAATGAAAAGAACTAGAGAAGCAAGAGCAAACAAATTCAAAAGCTAGCAGAAGACAAGAAATAACTAAGATCAGAGCAGAACTGAAGGAGGTACTGCATGTCTTAAAGAAAAATCCCAACTGAGACTCTGCGGGTTGTGCATGGCTCAGTGATTGCTGTGCAACAAATTATTAGGCGCCTTCCTTAAACTCCCTTCTGTTTTTGTCTTTTCTGAGGTACTCTGACCATGAAGCTACAGTTTCATAAGAAATCCATGAGGAAGGGCAGTGACATATATTTTTTTATTTCTCCTATTAATTTTAGACTTTGTAAGGAATGTTGTTGACTGTAAAAAGAAAACAAATTAGGGAAACAGAAATATATACCTATGGTTTAAACAACAGTAATAGCAATAAAAACAGCTTTTATGGCAGAAATATATTTCTGACCTTTGAAACTTTACATCTCTTAGAACAAGTCTCTCTCAGAGTCTGGGTCCCTGTAGATCCAGGTCTGACATTTCCCCAGCTGAAACGTCACTAGTCTCACTTCACAGCCTGGTCCCCAAATTGGGAAGCAACTTGTTTTGAGACACTGAGGTTCCAAACACAAGATCTAAGACAGAAACCTCACAGTCAGTACGTCCCATCATGCCCAAGGGATCATTTGTGGAAGGCGTAGCCTTCTCCTTTGGTTTCACACAGCGACACTGCATGCACATTAAAAAAATGGACACAGCGGGGCTAACAGGTGTTTTTCTATGCTTGCAGAACACATAAAATAACACAAGCATCCTTGATGAAACTGTTGCTTCAACTTTAAATGTTTCTCTAAAGCTGTTTTGGAAGTGTTTGTTCTCCTAGTGCTTGATGTGAAACTGAGGTCTCTTCTGAGCCCTGGCACCGAGCTGGGCTCCAGGGCACGCTGGAGAAACAGAGAGCTCAGCTGACACAATATAATTTGGAGCCATTACAATGTATTGTATGTAGGACACTACTGTGGAGCTCTTAATATGCAGAATTTTGCATAGTATGAATGCTAATCATTTTTACGATGATGCTATTCATATAATATGTAATACTTGCTAAACAAAATTATGAAACATAATTACTGCTCAGACACAGTTGCTGCTTTCAGTCCTCAAAAACCCAGTCATTTAAAATTGTGTTTTCTTTAAATAAATGGCAACAATCCCCGCTAAAGACTATGTGCCTAGATAATTTCCTTTTCAAAAAAGGAGCCTTTTTATCTTTAGTGAGTGACAAAACATCCTTTATGAAAGGTTTATAACTCAGCCATTTAAATTCGCTTCAGGCTGAAATTTGGCATGCGACTTCTCATCCTGGGAGCACAGTTTTTATTTTACTAAATTTTAGTGAAATTGGTTTGGCTGGTTTTTAGTCACAGGGAAGCAAAGGGGCTAGCCCCTCCCTCTATTTTCAGCTAGATAACCACAGAGCCTTAATTACACACCATCTCTTTGCTTGCCTCTCACAGCGGGCTGAGGTAACATGGGGCACGCCTTAACACACATCCATGTGTCCTCATGTACACAACATGTGGGTACACAAACACACACAGGAAGATCGGTGAGAAAGTTCCTTTCATTCTGCCTGTCGTTGAACTGAAGAGCAAATCTATGGTTTCAGAGTCACAAAGCGATGCCCTTGTATTGCTCCCAGAGGAGCAGCACAGAGACAAGACAATTTCTTCCCTCTGGCAAGAGTATAAATTAGGAGTGTGAAAAAAAAAAAAAAGACTAAGAGAGCAAACAGAACTTTACCATAATATCTTCCCCCGATTGTCAGAAAGTATTTAAAGGGGTTTTTCAGTTTTATCAATGTGTGAGAGAGCAAAAGAAAGCAAATGCACAAAATACCATAAAAACCACCTTGCATTTTAATTTGCCACCAAAATGATGATGAGAAGTTTTCTGGGAAGTATAAACTGGCTTGTCAAATGAAAGGAGAAACAGAGAACCAGATGGTTTTTGCGCACAAAGCTCACGCAGTGAGAATGTAACTTTAATTGTAAAACTCCCCTCATCAGGTCAACATACCTTACCGGGAATTTTTAAAATAAACAAAATGCATATCCTGAGTGCTGAAATACCATAAATCGAGGTTAAGGGACAGTGTAGTTCTAACAAATATAGTGACAGGTTAAGATCAAGGGATGCCTTGACATTCTCCTCAAAAAGGTCAATCTAACAGGTCTGCAATGTAAAAATGAAGAGCCTGCCATCATTGCCATGGTGAAAGGTCAGACACCAGCTGATTGGTGATAGAATTATCAAATTAACCAATCGATGTGTGTGAGTAATAGATGTAAGCAATCCTCTGGGAGGGCCACAGGGCAAATGCCAGCTCATCAATAACACATCGCTGTGGATGGGAAGCTCCTTGCTTCAATCCATGTCCTTTCCGTTACCAAGAGGAGCCAAACCATGTCCAATGTGTATCCTATTTACATATTACATTCTAAATGGGATGAAAGGCCACTGCTTTGAATACTAGTCCTTTGATGAAATCTTCTACACATCTTTGCAGAATAATTACCATCCTGGGTAGGAGAAAGAGCAAGCGATTCTCCTCTTTGCATGAGAGAAACATTCATGTCCTCCTAAGTAAATGCAAAGAATAATCTCTTCCTCTGCCTGCTGTTATCAGATTCAGGCCCAGACTCCCTTAGTAAAAGCATGTTACCTGTGACAGTTACAGGTATATAAGTCTCAGGCTTGATTGTGTGTCAACTTCCACATTGTTTAAAATATTCTTTTTTTTACAGATGTGCCTATTATCACAGCAACATGAAAATCTTTCAGAGGTATTACCACAGTGGGGGTGTTAACAGTTCTCACTGCTAATTAGGGATTTACTCTCCATCGATATGTGAGCGTAAGTCTTATTAATGTTAATGGGGTTACACATCTGTATTGAAGGCAGCATAGATCCCTAAGTGAGTGAGATTATCACCCTGCCTGTGAACATCTCTGAATGTTTGCATAGCACTTTGATTATAGGACTATCTTGACATAACCTCAAGAAAAACTCAAACTGTAGCCTCATTGACCCAATTTCAGTAGTTTTGGTACAAAAGAGTGAATGGCTTACCCAATTTCAATAAATCTGGGTGAAAAAGAATTCGGTCAACAATTTGGATGTTTGTCTGCACATACCATACATTTGGCTATGTGTACATTTCAGCAGAGATAATTAAAACACACATACACACACTCACAAGCACTTTCAGCCATATATGATAATATGCAAATACTGCCATTACTTCTGACTTATCAATTAATACGCTTAGCCATTTACTCCCACAAGCAATGCTTACAGGCTTAAGTAGAATAAAGTATTATAGTGCAGAGTAACATATTACTGTACTTTCTAATACAAAATATTTTATCCTCTGAAGGTGAACCAAACAACTCAGTATACTTATTTAAAGGTTTAAAAGTTTTGTGATTATGATACTAGAGCTAATATGGTAGCTACCAACCATATTTGCCTCTTCAAATTAATTATAATTAAAGAACATCTAAAATTCAGCTCCTCAGTTGCATGAGCCACAATCCTAGTGCTCACGGCCACAGGCGGCTAGTGCCTACCATCTTAGACTGTGCAAAATAGAATGTTTCCATCATCAAATTTCCACTGGATAACACCATCCAGAGGCCTCACACAGTCTTGACCCACGCAGGACCAGAATGGCCTATTCTGAGATCTAGAAGACTGTGTCTGAATCTTGGCTTTATGTGTAATCCCTAATACAACGCTGAGTCAGTTATTTCTCTTCTCCATAACCCTTATTAGGCTTTGAGAAAAAAAAAAAACTTTAAATGTTCATCTCTCATAAGAAATGCAGCAAAAGGACTGGCTTTGGAAATATCAAAAATGGCTTTTCTATTTGTAGCTGTCTTCCTTTTACTTGTGGAGGTTTGTTCACAATAACTTTTCACCCAGGTCCCCAGATGTTTTGCTACTAAATTGTTTATGTTTCAAATTTGAAATCATGGTAGGGTTGAGGAATCTGCTTTGAGGTTACAAGATAGAAAAACTGAACAGATAAGGAGATGCTGCCGTTGCTGTTGCTGCTGCTGCTGCTGCTGCAGTGAAAAATTGTATTTTTGCTTTGTGGGCTAGGGGTTCAGCCCTTTGGGTCAGCTCTAACTGGTCTCTCAGAATAAATGCGCTTTAGGGCTGCCAGGCCTGGTGGTGCTACTGGCAGCGGCATCTGAGGCTCTCTAGGAGAGGAGCTTGCTCCTGGACATGAATTCATTCTCTGCCAGGTACAGAAAGCAAACAGGGAGGTAAACAAACACAAAAGGACTTGATTTGTTCCAGCACAGTGCAGGGTGACGGAATGACTGTGTATGTTGTGTGTGCCACTGTGCCTCTCTTCCTGCCTTCAAAGGCTCTAAGTTCATGTGCATGCCCTTCCATTTTATCAGTATTAAAAATGACATGACAACCAACGAGGTCTGGTTGCAGAAGCTGTAAGTAAGCTGTCACCCTTCTCCAAAACTCCATGGAAATATGGAATATCTAACCATCTCTGAACAAGCTCGAGGTTCTAGATTAATGAACGGCATTAACAAGGCACTGAGGTGAGGAAGTACAACCCTCTTACAATGTCACTGTATACTGTTCAATGGATCCTGAAGAAAAATTAACAGAGGCAATGATAAGAAAGAAAAAAAGGAAATATAACTGGGTTTTAGATGCTAATTTCAAATGGCATAAACATCCTTAGCAATTTTCTCTCCAAGTGTCATAAGGTAATTATTTAGTAATATAAAACAGAAAAGCTATGAAAAATTGATCAGGCAGATAATGGGTTCGAAACATATAGGCACCATGTCTCCCTATTTAATATGAGAATGTTTACCTGCCCATGAAACGAATACAGGGTAAGTCACTGTCTTCAGTGATGCTCAGACACAAAATCTATAAACCTCTTAGTACTCTAACTTTGCCTTGCACAAAGAGAACTTTTTTCTTGATAAAAAGATCCTACTTCATGAATATGATAGAGCAAAGCCAAAAAGCAACAAAACAGCTCACCATATTTTAGTGAAAACAATGCATTTCTAATTAAAACTCTTTTACTACAACCTTTTGCTATGATATCCTTGAAACCTACCAAGAACTCTAGATTTGAACAGATGAAAAATCAATAAAAAGCAGATCAACAATGCTGAGGTATTGAATTGGACCTACATGTTCTGTTTGAATCTCCGACTCATAAAACAGTATTACAAAACAAGCATGTACCACTCAGCAGGAAACTCGACAATCTAATCATCTCCCCCTATTCTGAGGCCAGCCAATTTATAATATGTTCTGGAGGTTACTCTTCTTGCACTTGAAACAGCAGCATTCATATCTGCCAAAATGTAGCACAAAATATTGTGTGTCAACTAAAATAAAAAACTAATAAGGAATTTTGGTTTTTAAAGCACAACCACTTTAATTACAATTATATTTGCTAAATATTACAATACAAGTTTACATTCTTTTAAAGTGGAGGCATATATGCTACATCTTAGCCTAGCTTTTGCTGATGTATTTCCTTTCTCCATTATGGGAATGGATGGTTCTTATTGCATAACTTTTTTGCTGTTTTTTTAAAATATCAAATATACAACATTTTCTATATTGACACAGTCTCTGCCTTCAATGAAACCAATCTCAGCCACAGGATTGTATCAAAATCCCTTCTGATACAGGCATATTCCTATATTTAGTACTGTAGTTATTGTTTACCATGTGCTAGTGTGAAGTCTGATGTCATGGAAACAAAATCCCTATATTATATTGACTTTCCTTCGGAGTCAATCCGAAAGAGTAGAAATTGTACACAGATTATTTGTGTTCGGTCTGTCAATTTACTAAATTCAATTCCACTAAAAATAAAATAAATAAAATGTAATTCCAGTCCACTTCTGTAATGCACATCAGATAACTATCAAAGAAAAAAAACCAAAACCCTCACTGTCTCTAAGTATCACTGGTGTACTCAAAGCTAAATTTAGCAGTTTTGTCACCTTCAAAGCGAGTTAAGGGCTTACTGCTATAGCATTCAGGGAGAATGGGTACAATTTTGAGCTTGCCTGCTTTGTCATGTGAGCATCTTTAAAAACAACAGTAAAATCACTGCCCACGTTCACACTTCCTGCACATGCTGGTGTTTTACACTTTCATACGGCACCTCAATATGGAAAACACTCCTTCAATAGATATAGTATCAATGGGTGAGAATGTAAACTAAAACTAAAGCGCATTTCTCCAGTTCTGCCAGCTCTGTGCACACCCAGAACTGTGCCAGCGAGACGGCAGGGAAGCTCTCCACCCAGCTTTCCAGCTCAGGCTAACATCCAACTCATAGGCATAACAGGGAACAAATATTCCCATCATAGGACAGACAGTCCTGTTCAGTAAAACCCCAAAACACTCTGAGCCAGCTCTAGGAATATGATGAACTCATTCAGGGAAATGTTATTGTTTAATGTATTCTAACAGAAAAGAAAAATATCACCTTTTTAAGGTATGTGTTCATTTTGGGTTCCTAAAATGAGATTTTGGGGAGCTTCCTGGGAAACAGATAGGCTCGCTCTCAGACTACTCTGATAGAACTAGTGCAGAACTGAAGACTTGGAGTCTGTGCACGGGGCTGCGTAAAAGCACTTGCATGCTTTCCATTGTACATAAAACTCAAAAGAGTTGCCAGCCCCGTTAAGACTCTTGGTGGCCCATCTCTTTCTCCAAATTATCTCGTGCCACCTTCCTGCTTGTTCACTAAACTGTAGTCACACTTACTTCCCTTCCATTTCCTAAAACCTCTAGCATCTCTTCACCTTTAGACTATTACTGATGCTGTTTTCTGTCTTAGAATCCACTTTCTCCACTCCAATGCCTTCTTACCTCCTTCAGAGCTCTATCTAAATGTTCTTTTCCCAGAGAAGTGACACCACCTCATCTAAACACATTTTCCCTTTTGAGCCTATCCCAGCCCCTTACCTGCTCTGCCTCCTTTCATAACTCCTGTACCACCTTACAGGGCCTCATATACAGTGAATGTTTAATCCATTTCTATTGAGTTAAATTCATCCATTCAACAAATATACACTTGTAGACATGGAAGATCCTTCAATTCGAAAGACAGATATAAGTGTATCAGAAATAATTATTCAGTAACTCCATGGTTAACTCATGAGCCTCACTTTGGAGCCCAAAATATTTAAAAATAACACGTACTTGGTTCTTTTAGTAGCACAGCAAAAAGAAGTAGACAAGCTCCCACCCTTGGTTTTACAGGAAATTTCAAATGGAAAATTACGTAGAACTCACATTTTCCACGAAAAGCTTACTTTGCTGGCTGTATGATAGAACCTAGATGTTCCTTGCTTATGGGTAAGCTGTTTTTCTAAATAAGTTGAAGAGGTGACTATGAAAGAAGCATAATTCAATAACTGGATACATTGGAGGAAATTCTCAGTACACTCATATTGTAAGCCTTTTTAAAAATGACTATAATTTGCTCTAGCAAAGATATTTAAATATTTCCCTCTAGCCTATTGTAAATCTCATTTCTAATCTCCAAGCTCCTGTAATCAAGTCCTCGATAGTTTAAATAAAGCCTCCATTTGGGATTAAACTGATATTGATATACACACTTATTTCTGATTTTATGTGATATATGGGCGAGTTTGCCTGAAATGCTTATCAAATAATCATAATTAAAATGTATAATTTCAGAAAGATGATCCACTAATTTTAACTATTATGTCTGGGACTTGGTTAAGAGAATGAAGAAATATGAAACAAAAATTTAAGTGGGCAATTACATTACAAAATAATATCTGCTATGCATGTTAAGGAAGAAATAAGCATCTTTATTTTTGAAGATAAAGCAAATTTGTTTTTTAGTTTCCCTGGCCAAGAAGTCTGAAAAACTCTGCTGTTATAAAGAAATGGAAGCTTCTCTTCTTTCCTCACATGTAAGAAATACGTACCAATTATTTTAGACTCTTCCTAGGCAATATTGGGGAGAGTTTGACTTTTCTTCACCTCGTCAAATTTAACCACTGGAATAAACACCTCAAAACTGATTCTTCTGAGAGCATAAACAAACCAAGCATGAAGGCTCCCAATAGGAGGCCAAGGCGGCTTGAAAATTGCTGAACAGGATCAGGAAAGTGATATTCTCTGTCTCTATTCATTTTAGTGAAATGTCTACTGAGTTTGGTCTGGATTGATGAGGTAACTAATAGTTTAAAGGTTAGGTGAAGAAAAATTACATTCTAAAAGCAGGAGTCCCCAGGCCTGCCTGAGGAGGGGCCAAGTCTGTCAGGAATCTGCCGGGCCCCTCAGCATGCTGGGTCACAGGTGTTGGGTTGTTAGAATGTACTCTGACCGAGCTGACTAGCCAACTTAAATATCTAGTCAAGCAAGACTGCTTGAGAGCTTCTTCTCAACTGAAAACTTGGGAGACAATTATCTTCCCTTCATGTATAACAGGGGTTATAGCTAACAGGAGTTTAGTGCATCTACAGCCTAGAGTTGCAATAAAACTTAGCCACTGTCCTTCCCCTGTTAGCCCAGGGTTGCTTCTGGTAAGATAAGTGATTTGAGTAGTTAAGTAAACACAGAGAGCTTTTATGTTAATTTAGTAACATAGTCTATTCTGTGAACCTTAGTGGTTGCTGAAAAAAGAAGGCATGCTCAGGGCTGAGAAAAGCTGAAGGAAAATCAAGACAGATGAGGACGCCGGGAGAAAGAAACAATTTATACAGCAGAAATTTGGGGACAGGTGGAAAATGTTATCACAATTGGCCGCCGTTAGACTATCTATTTCTCTCTATGACTTGTGTTGGTACCAGAACAGCAGCCAGTCCATACATGACTTTGTGAGAATTAAAAAAAAAAAAAATGCATTCCTTCCATGGGTAAAAGATGTTTACATTAGTATAACAGTGCAGGACTTGGACAACCATACAGTGAGGCCTGGTTATTCTGCCTGGGTTGCTTTCCAGAGCTTACAGGAGGCTGCCTGCACCAATGAACCTGCCCCCACTCCCCCTGCTCACATCCACATCCAGAACCTGGGGAGTGCAGGCGGCCACTCACATTCATATACTATGACCCCCTAGAGGTGGCATCCTTGTTCACTACGCAACCTGAGCACTCACATGAGGCCACCCTCCTTGGGGCAGAGAGAGAAGGTGAAAAAAAAAATGCAAATTCAAATGCACTTTATGAATGTGGGTAAGTTCTAACGTGGGGAGAGAAGAAACCAAGGAGATCTTGTGAAAAAAATTCAAATTTAAAAATGAATGGTTTTTTGGCTGACATTCTGTAGTTTTCCATTTTTGTGAGACAAAATATATAGTACGTAGAAAACTGAGCATTTTTAATGTTCAAGAGTACTGTCTTTTAAAATATGTTGATTAGGAGAAAAGAGGACACGCTTCACTTCCAAATGTTAATGTAAAGCATGAGAAATGAAATTCTTCTCTATGAAGGTGGGGTAGTCGGGGGACCTCTAAATCCAGAGGTCTGCATTTTGCTGAGATTATCTAGATCCAAAGTTTCCAGAAGTTGACTTAAGGCCATGAATACTGGTGGCTATGTTTGTGATGGGATGGGTACCGAGCAATCTTCCTGGTGATTACTCAAGTGTGGAGCATAAATTATTACCCCAGGCAAGCACCGACTTAAATGAAGTAGTTTTCTGAAAGTAGAATGTGATTAAACCATGCATTTCATTCAAAACACCTCCTGTTTAGCCAATCTCTGTTGCTCCTGGTGTCTCATCTTCGGGAAGATGGATTCTTGGTGATAATTTGGGATGCGGCAGACTTTTACACAAAGATGAGGCTAAGCACACGAGGAATCCATAAGAGATTCTTATCACAGACTCAGAAAGGAGAAACCGTCTATACATGAGAAAGCTAGCATGAGTCTTGGGATTTTATTTTCTAGTTTTGTGTTTATACCTACCTACCTCTCCAAAGGTACTATTTACTGGCCCTGTCCATGAATCAGTTCTATTTACCAAAAGCAGGAAGTTCCATCCACATATTAAAAGATTCTTTCCTTTTAATAAAAGCAACTGAAGTGCCCGATGAGCTGGGTTTCCTCCCTCTGTGATGCGTCAGGGGAACAAGAAAATGAAATCTGTGAAGGGTCTGGGTGTCAGGTGAAGCGTGGTTGCAATTCCCCTCACCTTGATTTGTGTCTTGCCCCACAGCTTTAAAGTCCCTGGACTTTATTTCTCTCAGTGACATGCATGTGCCAGGCTGGCCGATCAGTAGAGATCTCTGGCACGAGAATCTTTTCCTCACACTGAACTGTTTTACTAACACTGCACCTTTCTTTTGACAGTGGCTTATGGACCAGGTATTTTAACTCAGGGGATACTTGAATGTGATCTGTGTGACTACTTTGAAATCCACATCTCTCTAAGCATGTACTATTTATCTCCTCACACACATTCACAAATGTGGGGGATTCGGTGTGAGGAACCACTATGCCTGTGTTATTATTCTGACAGTCCTTTCTGGGTATTTTTATCTCTGAGTCAAGCATTTGGCCGTTACTGAGTGCTTCCTGTCAACAGGTCAAGCCCTGTAAAACACACTACGGGAAGAAGGTACAGTGTTAGTACCTCCTCCCTGTCATGAAGTAATGCTCCGAAGGAAGACAAATATAGATCAACTTAATGCTCAGTAAATATTTAGCAGATAATAATGCAGTCTCCGGGGCTAGAAAGACAAGGGCCCACCCTCATAGTGCTTCCTACATAGTTCCTCAGCTCCTCCTCCAGACCTTTCACGAGGTGTTCCCTGACCATCCTATTCACAACTACAACCCTGCCGTCCATGATAATCCCCATATTGCCTTATTTTCCTCCCTAGAATCTATTGCCTTCAAACATACCATAGGATCCTTTTATTTATTTGAATTTCTAACATCCCTTATCAAAAATATAAATTTCATGAAGGCAGCACTTTTTGCCTGTTGTGTTCACTGCTGTACTCCTAGTGCCTAGAAACAGTACCTGGCATACAGTAGGTGCTTAATAAATATTTGCTAAATGAATATATAGCATGGAATTGCATAGTGGAATTTGGAAAAATGTATAAAGTTACAAAACCAGGAAGCCTTTCTAAAAGGCTGTTTTAGGGGGAAAGGCAGTATTTCTGCTGGAAATATCTGCAAAGCTGTTGAGGTCCAGAAAAAAGGTCAGCCGTAGGCTGACTTTGGGTGGAGAAAAGGAGCATATTTCAACGGAGGGGAAAGCTGTTCGAGGGAGGTGCTTGGGTCATGCAGTAGCCTGATGACAGAAAAGCATGTGAGGTGACAACTAGTTTCCATTAGCAGTCTCATAATCCTGTAGTCACTTTTCTAATGGAGAAGCTACTTAAGCCCCTATGACATGACAGTTCACCTGAAACCATGATCCCTCATCGTTTACCATTAGGTAACTGTCTGCTGTGTGAAGGGCATTTTGTGTGCTGTGCATGAACCATTCTGACTTAGCTTTTAGAGCTGAATGAAAACCCAGGTCCAAGTTTATTTCACTGGTTTCTCTACATGCAGTGGGAGAGATCAGACGCATTTCGTGGTTCTCTTGCTCCGGATAGATAATAAAGGTATAACTGTGGAAATGTATAGTCCTAGTGAAACGCTATCCTTGGTTTTCTGTTCAAACAGAACAAAACAAAACCCACGGGTGGAGACAAGCAGCCCAACACTGATTTAGGTTACTACTGTCTGTCCTAGCAAGATAAACTGCCCTGTGGAACTGACCACCAGGACACAGAGCTGAGCCACTCAAAGATGGGAGTCATTTTTCTGTTCACTTGTTTCTAAGTTACGCTGAAGTTTCATAGTACTTGCACACTTGAATGTTCTATTTTAGCCTGAATTGGCTATCAGCTCACCAGCTTTTCATTGTTACCACATTAAAGGGAGACTGCATACGTAGTCAACTAACATGGGACAAATTTCTCTTTCTCGGGTCTTCCTTTGCTTTCCCCACCTGGATCACAAAACAAACACTGTCATCTAGCATTGTCTTTCTTCTTAACAAATAGTGTTTGGCTCCCTTGTTTTAAAGTGATCTGTATATTCATTAACATGTTTTAATTTACTGACATAATTAGCATATTTAAAAATGTTTATTACCAACACAATTCTTTAGTTCCAACTGAGAAAGAAAGAGAAAAAGTGAAGAGAGAAATTGCAGAAAGGCAGATACGGCACCTCCAAATTGCTGTCTGACAGAGGGAGATCATGAGTGACAAGCAGTGGGGTGAAGGTTGGGCAAAGAAGGACGGGCAGGGAGAGAGGAAGGAAAGAGACCAGACCTCGCTGGTCTCTTCTGCCAGGTGTGGCAGAAGAACAGGGAGGAAGGCAAGAGATCAGAGAGGGAGGCTCTGAGGTGGGTGTTAGGTGAGGAATACTCTGCTCCTCAACTCTCTGAAAATTCGGGTTTTAGAGTATTATGCTTCCCTATTATCCACTCCCCTTCTGAAATGTCATCTCCTATCTCCACCACGTTTCAACTTCTGTAATCTTAAACTCTGTATGGAATCAAAGCACTGGGAAGACATTTTCCTGTGTTCTGTAGTTATAGTGACCAGAAGATTATAATCCCATAGGTTAGAGGAATAAAGCTGAAGTGTATATACGATGGTTTAATCAGAGATTTCCCTAAAAGCCCACTGAATGAAAACATTTAAAAGATAACATACAAGCATTTATAGGGCCATTTACTTATCTAAAGGTTCGAATGTGAACATCTATCTTAAAACATCTCATAATTTGTTTTTCAAAAAAGAATAAAACCTTCTTAATTCTAGAGGAGACTCATTACTCACCTTTGGTGAACTAATTTCCTACTTTTACTTCCAGCCTTTGAAAATATACTTGAAGAACCTTTCGTTTTCTGGGAATAATTTACAACTATCATCATTTGTGAGGTTGCACGGGTATCTTAAAAAAAAAAAAAAAAAACTTGCTTCTGAGTTCATGAATTTTCCACTGCCTGTTTTCAAAAGCAGTCTTCATTTTGTTGTGATAATCTGCATATTCATTATACCTTTCTTACCTACACTGGTATCTTTTATTTTTAAATTTCTTTTCTTGCCTTTTTACATAGCATCTTTTCAATGAACTCATTATGTTTGTTAAAAATATGCCCATGGGGATACAAAACAAACAAACAGCCTTGTCCTCCCCCTCACTTCCCAACCCAAACCACCTCCTATTTTTTTTTATTTTTTTGATTTTTTTATAACTGAAACACACGTCCTGGTGAAATTCTTTTATGCGTTTCTGAATGTGGCCCTTTGATCCTGGTTCTTTGTTTATTTCCTTCACTGTGATATTTTTTCAGAGATTCTTGCTAAGTGCAAATTGGAACAGGAGTTTCAACCTCTTGCATAATGTTGTAAAATAAATAAATAACAGAATTGTATTTAAATAAACTATTCAAATCCATGTCAGTAAATGATCTAATTAATTACTCCTTTGGGGCTGTGTTATATGTTTGCTTTCCTCTTAGAGAGGTGAAGAAAGTGAAAATAAATTTCCAGCTGTTAATGGGGTAAATTCTGTAAATGGATAAGGGTCAAAGACACAAACTCTAATTTGTATCACATTTGTTTTTAGGCACTTAATTTACTCTGTGTCTTTAACCTTATTTGAATGTTCCTTAACAGTTCCTACTTGATTTCACATGAGCAGCACTGATAGACTCCGTTAAACTTGTGAAGATACTTTGTGACGTTTGCAATGAACAGAGACAAGTTACTAAGAAGAAAAATAGATGTTACCCCTTATAATTCAGTGTAGGATGCCAGATTTGAACCAAGTCTGCAGAGATTGGACAAAATCCAATTTGTCATTATTTATTCCTAAGCATTGTGCTTATACTCTGGACTTTTTCATTCTTATTCGCCATTTACCCAATTATATCTATCCTTATTAGACCCCTGCTGAAGGCAGCATTAGCCAGAGAAGTCCCATAGCTTAACTTAATCCTATTATCTCTTGATAAACGGGGACGCATGAGGCTCTAGATGGCCAAATTCAGCATTACTCTCCCTTCTCTCTCTCCCTCCTCTCCTATTCTCCCCCAAAGAAAAATGCTGTTGCTCATCCTTATGCCTGATGTAATTAAGATCTGGAAATATGCCCATTCTAATCCTTACTCAGTATAAGCATCACTGTCAATGCAGAGAAATGAACTGCAGTTATGATGTAAAGGGCTGACACCTCCATGACATTTTACTGATGTGTTGGGCCTCACTGCCACATTGACAAAGTGAGGTTTATGTCTTCAGGGTTTTAAATGCCTGCCAAAAACAGAGCATTGAACTTGCAGGGGAAAGGGTCACAGTGGGGAAGACAACAGGCCATCCTGAGAAGTGAATTTGTAAGGTGTACATTTAGATGTGCACAGGGACAGGTGGGAGAAAGGGAGAGAGAGAGAGGGAGGGAGGGAGGGAGGGAGGAAGGGTGGGGGCGGGGCGGGGAGGGGGAGAGTGGGGGAGAGGGAGAGAGAGAGACAGACGGAGAGAATATGAATTCACTGCCTTGGAAGTTCTTCAGGAATTCTATGGAACAGAAAAATCTTCTGCCTTTTCAGAACTAATCCCAGACTGTAACTTGCCTTATGGAAGATTGCCTAAAGGCCATGATAGCAGCGCATGACTGAATCCTCACTGACTTTCTTTTTGTTCTGTAGTTATAGTTGTATATCTACGTATCAGTAAATCACTCACGCTGTATTAGAGGCAAATAGATAGAACAACTGTCAGTTCTTATTAAAATGCTTCTTAAAATGTATCTTCTAATACTGCATAAAGTTACGAAGTGTTGAGTAGAGAATAAGACCTACTCTATCCCAGCGACATCTCTCAGGCTTTGTGTTGCAATTCCATGATCCTCTCCCTTCTAGTACATATACTACTTATAACATCAAAAGGGCTTCGTGCTTCTTTTCAAAAGGAATTTACTATCCAAAAGGTTGAGTTTGGGAAACGAGCCAACTCAAGCCTCCTGAGAAAAAGGGGAAAACAATCTCATTTATTTAGAAACAAGGATAATTTTGATAATGTTGGAAATGTCTTTCCCATACTTTTTTTTTTAATTCTCTAAGTCATGCAAGGGGTTCTAGAGAGCCTGAAACCCCAAGAAATTCTTCACAAATGGAAAGAAATAAGTGTGTTCAAAAATTGCATCCTGTCAAAAGGACAAACGCATTTCCTTCTGTCCCAGAAAGAGGGAGCTGGCAAAGGAGACAGCCAGAAGGGTTAAGCACAAGAGGAGTTTTGCACAAAATTGGAGATCAAGAAATATTGATTGGCGCTTGCTAAGATGGAGAGACTGACCGAGGAAAAGTGCCCACAGAGTGTCGGTGTTCTTTTGATGCTGCCAACTCCTATAAGAACTTTGCTGTACCCTCTAGGGATCACAAGCTGCACTTTGAAAACATGGCTTTAGAGCTTTTCTTAACAGCACACAAACAGAAATTCCTTTGGGGGTAACTTGTTTTATTTTATTGTCATCTATAACATTTGCATTAATGATGTGACAGAGTGACAAGTGGGTGAAGGGTGGTCTAGATAAGCATCTAGGTGACAGTGACCTCCTGTCTTCACTAGGGACCTCACAGTTTGGGGGTGGGGTAGTAAGGCTAGTCTACACTCTGCTGGTAGAGACTAGTGGTGATGGTACCAGTAATATACATCTAGTGGCAAAGCATATATATTTATTACCCTTGCTAGAGCGAGCTGTAAGTGCAGGCAACATGCATGCATTTAACATTAAAAAGGAAAAGCATACTCTTCATAAACATGCATTTGCTAATCTTAGTTGGCATAATGAAATAGCTGAGGTACCTTAGCACAAAGAAATATTAAAGCGCATTGGTTTAACAATAATGTCGTGCTTTAACTGCACGTTTATTTTCCTTAGCCTTTTATTGCCATAATGACATTGGTTAAGTTAAATAGAAGTCAGCATCATTTGGCCGGAATTGACAACAATTAGGAAAGCTGCCTAGCTGTGATGTTTCTACCTTCCCTGATAACTATGGCCAATGAACAAGTTATTGTGTCTAAGGAACTCCATGGTAGAAGAGACTTTAATGAGATTGGCAGCCAGAGAGTTAAAGGCAAATTCAAGGCCATGAGATTAAGGCTCAGGGTAAAAGGCTTTTCAACCCTGGACCTCAGCCAGGATATCAAAAAAGAAGATAACACAAGTATAATGTTTTCCAATTGCCAGTGTGCCGTTTCCAAATATTTGACTATTCTGTATCAATGTTTAAGTTTTAGTTCATGAGATTACAGGGCTATTCAAGATCATTAATAGTAGTCCCTGTTTTGCCCAAACGCAACTTTCTAAACATACAAAATTCATCAGGCCTGGTAGTGATCCTGCAAAACAGAGTGAATCTAACACAATAGAATTCCAGGTATGATATAAATCAAATTTTACTTCATCTGTCTTCAGGGGTGGGAGACTGGCAGAGTTCTAATCATATACATATTTAAATTTGTAATCAGACTCCTTGGGAGGACAGGCTGTTGTGTTTACCAGGAGCTTATCGCTAAGGCTTCTGGGGACTAAGAATGGTTGGTTGTAAATCCTGTCATTTTGGTGACTTAATATTTTATATTATCATGATATTAGCATAATTGTGACCTCTGCATTGTAGCATTTTATGTGTTTCCAGTGTAACTTTTGATGCTTTACTAAAGTCAACAAAAATTCCCATTATTCCCTCTTTTAGAGCACATTTGGCATGAAGTATTAAGGTTGATTTAATGTTATTAGTGCTTAAAGTGGTGCAAAATCCATGAATATACACATCCATCTCCCAGTTCACCGTAACACTGCCATAAAATGCTAGGAAATGAGTGATAAACATTTCCTCTCCGTTTTTTCTCTTTCCCTAATTTTTCCTGCTGGAGGCTCTGCCTCTACCCAGAGGGCATGCGAGTGTTGCCAGTTCCCCCACACAGATCAATCACTAGGGCTTCCACATGCCCACATAATAGCACAACAGGAGAGCTTGGCTCAGCTGCAAGCCTCATTAAAACTATTCTCAAAGTAACAGCAAGGTTTGGGGAGCACTCTACTTGGACCAGACTCTGCATATTTTCCAAGATAATGACCACAGAAGAAGCATTAGAGGACATAGTTCCTTTTATTTGTGATTTTGGCAAGTTACAAAAAATAGTGAAGCAAAGCTAAGTATTTCAAAGGATGTCCAATGGCAAACTCTTTTTTTGAAATTCTTAGTGAAAAATTATTACTATGGTAAAACTACTGAGGCTTGAAGGGCTGTAAGGGGCAAATGAACTTGGAGAGACTAAGAAGCTCCGATTTTCTGGCTTTTGGATCCGAAGTGTTTAATCAGAACTAGCAGGGAAACCTAAGTCCAGAAGTCACCCCATCATGGGTCCCAAAATATTCCATAGGCTACTTATATGGCTGTGTGTGTGTGCTGTGTGTATGTGTGCTATGAGTGCATGAGTACGTATGTTCTGTGAATGAGCGTGTTGTATGTGACTGTGTGTTTGTGTGTGTGTTGGGCACATGATCACGTTATCTCTGTTCAGAGTTAGGGATGGACGGTGAGAGCAATGTCAACATCAAAACACAGGAGTCCCAAGTTGATTTTTCCCGTAGATCCCTGTATCATATCCTCTTCTGGGTAGCTTCTCTCTTTCCATAGTGAATCTGGGAAGATATTCCATTACCACAGCAATCTAATGTGTCCACAGTTTGGAAAGAAGAAACTAAAAGGGTTCTGAGAAAAGCATCCTCTCTTTCCACCCCTACCCCCATCACCAAAAGATGAAAGATGGTAAATAGGATCTATTTTTAAAAGACAAAAGAAGCTGAAATTATTAAATCCAGAAGGCAACAAAAGGCTAAAAAGGGTGAATTTATCATTGCATGTGTGTACACAAAGTATTTTTATAAAAAGGGTGTTGACAAACTCTTTTCCACCTCTAAGGAAGACAGAGCAAGATATTAATATTGTAAGATGAATTATTTAAATAAAAGAAAAAGAGAAAGAAGTCCCTGCCTCTTAAGATTTTAGAAAGAGATACTTTGAAATCATGGGCATTTTACTCCAATTCTATTCTCTGTCAAACACTGTCATTTCCAAGTGGTTCCCCAAAAGTCTGTGAGGGTGCAAAATGACTAAAGCAATACAAAGAAAGGCACAGCAGGCAAACTACCAATATATGATGCGGTTCCTGTAGCTCTGAAACAAATACCCCACAAGGTAAAGGGGCCAGGTGGAAAAGCCATGAAAATTGCCATGATGAGAATCCTTAAATAATGAAGTTCCAGTATTTGCTCATTCCCCACATTTTATATTGATGAAACAGAAACAACTGTCCCAAAGTGGGATGGATTTGGAATGAGAAAATGAATAAAAAAATACTCATAAATGTTTAAATTGGGGAATACTAAATTGACAATAGAGGGGTGTATTTTTTCCATTAAGTAGTGTTCAAGTATGATCAAAGTTGTGTAGAAATACCGACATTCAGAGAGGGAAGATTAATATTTATTTGCTTCCACTTCTTATTCTAATGATAACTCTCTACTTAATTGGCCTAGTTAATTTATGAAATCAAATCTAGATCAGTGAAATTGACAAGTAGTCATTGAGGAAAGGATATTACAGTTTAAAAGCATGAAGGATAGCAGTATAAATGATATATGCTATGCTATTAAGCAAGTCACTATAAAGTAAATTACAATGAGCATAGAGGGAATGCATTTTACTGTGTCAAAAACATATTTTTATGCAATGTTCAAACTTTATGTTGAATGGTCAATCTTGACAACAAGATTTCTCTTTCTGACAGCTCATATCTATATTTGGATAAAAACCAACAACGTATTAGAAAGGAAGTAAACTGTACATGGGATATAGCGCTAAGGAAAAACCATCGTTATGTTTGCAAGTCTGTGCCTTTTAGGGAGTCTGTAAGGCACGTCTTATTCTTCACCAGGGAAAGCGCAGCCATGGCTTACTAGTAAATCACGTAGTTTCTCATCAAACGGGAAGTGAGGCTCTAGTCCCATCTCAAAGTGAGGATAGCTATGGTCCTTCTCTGGAAGGCAGAGAAGCCAGGCCAGGCAGCTGGCAGAATTTATTTCACTCTGGTCCATGCCCCCTCTGGTGGCTGAATGCCAGGGTGAAGTAACACAATGAGAAATTGCTTCCCTCTCAGTGGGAGGTGCATTGTTTTCTCTCCCATTCACAAAGGCCCACAGCATTTCCTCAGGCAATTCAGTTTACCTTTAACCCCAACTCTCCAAACCAGAACTAGAAATGCTGTTGTCAAAGAAGACTTCCTCAACAAAACATATAGCAACGGCTTGATGGAAACCAGGAGTGTATAAGGATTTCAGACAGTTCTTGAACTAGTATCTGCTCAAAGATCTGTTTATAAAATTAGGCTTTTTTTTTTTTTTTTTAGATCTTAGTTCTTCCTAGCTCCATGGAAATTTCAGACACATAAAAACTTAAAGTAGGCAAGACTGTGGCATCGATATGCTTTGCACACAGTGAGCACTCAACAGATGTTCTCTAAGTTAAAATGACAAAATCAGACCTATGATTTTTGATGTAAAGAAAAATGCATCAAATTTGTTTTATTCTAATTCTTTTTTAATGTGCATTATTAACTGCATCAATAAGCATGTCAAGTATCCAAACACAACAAAAGGGGAAAATCTTTTATATATTCCATGCCATTATTCTTAAAACTTTCGTGATTAAGATCTATTAACTACAAACATTCTCCAGAATTCAATCTGAGGCCTTCTCTTTTCGTTTTATTTATTCAGAGCTTATCACATTAGATCAAAACTTCTATGTTGATGACTCGATATGTCCTGAACTGATTTTATGTTTCCATCTATGTGGCTTGAAAAAAATTCATTAAAGGTTGAGAGGGTAGGAGTGCATGTCAGCTTCGGAATCAATCAAATCTGTGTTCATTTCCCAGCTAACCCACTCACAAATCACATTACCTTGGGTAAACTACTTAATCTCTCTGAGGCTCAGTTTTCTCATCTACAAAATGGGAAAAATAAAACTTCCTCCTTCACTTGTTGACAGTTTAAATGCACTAAAAATGGGTAAGGTACAGTTAGCATAAGACTACTTGAACTTCATAAGTAATCAGTAAAGTTATTTATTTTTATTTTATTATTGACACCACAATTCATCACAGTTACCCAAACCAAAAACCTAGGCATTGTAATTTTTCCCCTTTCTCTTCACCTCTCACGTTACTAAGTTTTGCTAGTTTAACTTCCTAATCATTCTCAAATTTATACCCTTCTCTTTATCCCTCCTTCCCTGTTCTAGGTCATGGTATGAGCTCTCATTCTCTCTCTCTCTACAAGTAACTTTAAGAAGTTAAATTTGTTTGGTCTAATTAAAAAGCAATCTATTTTTATGCAAAAAGAGTATAGAAATATGTAAAATTAAAGGCGATAGTTTCCTGTAATTTTACCTCCTCTCCGTCCACAAAAGACTTTTGACATTTTTCTGTATATTCTCTTCATTTTTCTTCTATGCATAAAGTAACACATATGTTTTGTATGTTTGTATAGGCAGTTTCCTTGATTATTTTTACTAAACATACTGTAGTTATCTTTCCTTGTCAATATAATCCAGATATATTTCTTTATAATGATCATGTAATATTCCATTTCACATATTTATGGTCAAACTTCTACTCAGTTCATTAATTACAGCATAAATTACTTCTACAAACCTCCTAATAGTTTCCTTTCTAACAGTCTTTTCCCCCTCCAATCTATACCCCATGAAGCAAACAGACTAATCGATCCAAAGTTCAAGCTTGACTCTGTAGTGTCACTGCTTAATACCCTGCATTGATCCTCATTGCCCTGGAGAAAGCGAACGTTCCCTATGGGGTGCAGGATCTCAGTGATCTAGACTCTGCCACCTCACCAGCTTCAGACACTACCATTCCCTGCCTTAATCTTTGCTTGTGATTCCTTGAATAGTACCATATGTTTCTGCTTTCTAGAATGCAGGTGTTGACCAACTTTTTGTAATGGGCCATGTAGTACATATTTGAGGCTTTGTGGATCATATGCCTTCATCACATCTACTTAACTTTGCAATTGTAGTGCTAAAGCAGCCACAGACAACACTGAAATAAATATTGCTGTGGTTCCCATAAAACTTTCTTTACAAAAAAATCAGGCAGCAAGCTAAACTGCATAATTTGACAACTTTGTTTCTAGACAATTTTTCAGTTCAGGTGACACTCCTTCCAGAAAACTTTCTCTCTATTTCCAGTTCTAACTCTCTTCCCATTACACTCAATGCAAGAAGAACACATTGCCTTCTAAAACTGTCGATGTATGTGTTTGGTTTTCTCAGCAGATTATTAACTCCTTGAGGGCAGGACTATGCTTTCTGCCCATCTTTGTGTCTCTAGTACTTACATGCATGACACTTAGTAAGTACTCAATAAATATTCAGTAGATGAATGAATAAATCTCTGGAAAATTATTTTTTAATTATTACTTTGTTCTCTCTAGAAAACATTCCAATTAGGTGATCCGCATTCTCTGAAAGCTAATTAAATTCATCAACTTCTTTCCTCCAGCATCTTTTAACTAGGACTTGCATGTGAATCATGTGGAGGGCTTAAAACACGGGCAGTACTGGGTCTGCTGACAGAGGATTTAGACTCAGGAGGTCTGAGTGAGGCCTTGCATTTATATGTTTTAAATGCCTATTAGGTGAAGATTCTGATGCACGTTCCAGTCATGATACTGATAGAATGCTAGCGTCTCTGCCAATTTCCCAGTTTCCATCAGCCAACCTCCCGGTTCTCCTTGACAATGTGGTATTCTCAGGCCAGGCCTACTCTGCAAAATCTCTCTTTTACTCTGCGAAATCACTATCTTACCCTCATATTTTTATTCTTGACCACAAACACTCTGCAAAGCTCAAGCAAACATGCTTACAGTTCCCCCCGCAGGAAATTTCCGTTTAGATCCACTACTGTTTGATTGGGTTTCGGCTGTTTTTGCTTTTTAAATGGTTTCCATCCGCATTCTATCTCTAGGTTTTCTTATAAGCCTTTTCAAATCCTTTTGGAAAGTAAAATAATATAATCATATCAATAATAAATGTCTTTTTTTTTCTGCTTTGCACACATTTTTTGACTTCTAATCCACCCTCCACCCCACCCCATATACACGCATAGCAAAACCTGCTTTCACACAGGTTTCTCTGAATAAAAGGCAACTTCATCCAGCCACTGAGGACAAAAACACTGGAGTCATCCTTGCCAGTCCTATGGGCTTGACATTCATTTATACAGAATGTGATCATTTCTCACTAACCTCCACTGCTATCAGCTGATTCAAGTAACTACTGTCTCTAGCCTAGAAGATTGTAATACCTTCCTAGTCTTCCAACTTCCAGCCTATTCTCAACAGTCTGTTAGAAAAATGACAGTTAGAGGTGATTCTTTTTGTTTGTTTTTTAAAAACAGCTTTATTGAGATATAATTCACATTAAAGGTATTGTTGTAAAGCCTAAGTCAAATCTTGTCACTCCTTAGCTCAAACCCATCCCACATGGTTTCCCCAAATTACTCAAAATAAAGACAAAACTCCTTACAAAAAGTCTTCAAGGCCCCCTACATCCTGCAAAACCCTCTTACCTCTCCAACCTAATCTCTTCCTCTGGCACATGCCCCTCCAGCCACACTGCATTGCCTGGACAGCTCTTCTCCCAGTTATCTACATAACCTCAGCCCCCTCCCTTCCTCAGGTCTCTATTAAAATGTCACTTTCACAGTGAGACCTTCCTGGATCAACAATTTGTAACTGCAGTCACCTCCAGCACTTCCTATTCCCCTTTTAATCATTTGACATACATATAGTTTACTTGCTTGTTCTCTCCTCCAGCTAGAATACAAGCTCCATGAGGGCAGAGAGGGAGACAGTGACAGATCATCAGCCATTAGATTCTAATAAGGAGTGTGCAACCTAGATCCCTCACATGTGTAGTTCACAATAGAGTTTATGCTTCTGTGAGAATCCAATGCCACTGATCTGACAGGAGCTGGAGCTCAGGCAGTAATGCGAGTGATAGGGAGCGGCTGTAAATACAGATGAAGCTTCTCTCGCTCGCCGCTTGCCTGCTGCTCACCTCCTGTTGTGCAGCCCAGTTCCTAATGGGTCACGGACCAGTACCGGGGGTTGGGGACTCCAGTTTTAACCTTATTCAAACTTTCTACTGGTAATTTCCCCCTTTATTAGATAAAAATAATCATTTTACAACTTAATTTCTACCTACCTCGTTGATTTCTTTTAAGGACGGTGATATCAACTACTCTGGTTTTGCATTTATATAATATGGTATCATAAACATTTAGACTTGAAAGTAATCTTAGAAACTTATCTAGTCCATCTCCTTCATGTTCCACATCCGGGGGCAATAATGGGTAAAAGAGCCAGGGCAAAAATCGCTGTCTCCCGACTCCCACTCCAATGCTGACTCCTGGGTACCACACTGATCCATCAGTGACATCCTCAGCATAAGCACAGTCATGTGCTTTCTGCCTGCCATGGCCTAAGATAAGGGAAACCTTGCTTTCAATCTATTGGTCAGAAAGTTTGGTGTAACTGAAAATCATATGGTTGGCAAAAAGCGGTGAATAAGGAGTAAGGTCATGAGATTACTGCCCCAGCTTCTCCAGCTAGCGTGACTTGCCTCTCAGGTCCCAATTTGAAAAATGGAGATAACAATGATTCTATCCAGACGACAGACTTTCTATGAGCATCAGATGTGATACTGGATGGGAAAGCATTTTGGAATGCACAGAGCACTGTACAAGCATCAGTTTTGTTATTAACTCAGAAGAGCTACCTAATATGCGCAGAGCTCTCGTGAAAGAGACTGGAGGACAGCGTATAACTGGCTACGTGCAATTCTATCACACAAAGGGAGAAACTGCTCAAAGCCATGAGGTAGATTGTAGATTGTTGGTATCCACTTCATAAAGAGAACATTCTTTTTTTTTTTTTTTAAATATGCTCTACAAATCCCGCATCAGCTTGTGAGTTTCTCAAGGTTGAGGTCCATTTTGTTCTCAGGCCGGATGCTCAGTAAATAGAATATCTCTGAAATGGTCACCATCTTTCTTAAAGTGTGTCTAGTTAACTTCAGTTGGATTCCATAGGGAAGGAACTTCATAAAAGTTCACTTCTATTGTTCTCATATTAAATAATGAAAAAATCCAACATGGCTCTTTGATAGAAAATAGAATGTTAACATCTGGTATAAGATCCTTTGGCAACTGTTAAAGATGTGATCAGCCTAAATGAACCACCTTACATATGTTTAGGGAATTCCCACCTCTAAAGAATTTTCCTATGAAGTAGGAACAAGGCTAGAATTAACTTTAGAAGGTTTCCTCCCCTATTCCTTGGTTATTTCTATCTGATGTGAGATTTGGTTTCCAGCAAAACTTGATTCTTTGGACAGTTATTTCAGTTAAGCCTATGGTTCAATACGGACCCTATTATTATAGTAAAGGGATTTGTTCATGCAAGACACTTCTTTATACTGATGGTCCTAAATGCTTAAGAAAATATGAACTCTGGAAGATTGTGTTTTCCAAAACTGGCGGAACCAATTTATGCATCCCCCATGCTCTTCTTACAAAGTGATGTTGACAGTCCTTCATCAAGCAGTAGGATCTATGTTCCCTTTCCTTGAAACTGGGCACAACTTTGTGTCAGCCATTTCCAATAAAATATGTTGTAAGTGACATTATATGACTTCTGAGGTAGGTTACTGCACCTGGCTTTCTTTGTCTTAGGACCTTGACTCTTGGAAGTTAGCCACCATGCTGTGAGGAGGCCAAATAGTCACGTGGAGAGACCACAGGTAGGTGTTCCAGTCAAAGTCCTAGATGAGATCTCAGCTGATAGGCAGGGTCAATCAGCAGAAATATGTTGGAGTGTGGCTGCAGACTATTCCAAACCCAAGCCCTTGAGCTGGCCCCCTGATGCCAAGTGAAGCTGAGAAAACCTACCCAGGCCAAACACTACCCAAACTGCAGATTTAAAAGTCAAATAAACGGTGTCATTAATTCAGCCCTATAAGTTTAAAGGTAATTTTTTTTAATGCAGCAACAGATAATCATAACATACATCTTCCTACTTTCACACGTGCATTTCCATTGTTCTGTTTACCAGAATGTGGCCTGCTTACCAAACAGTCAAATTAAGAAGAGAGTGTTCAGAACAGGAATGAAAATACTGCACCGAGGGTTATCAACAGCCTGTCTTAAAAATTCTCAGCCTAGGTAACTGGCGGGATCCATGCTATAAAGAAGAACATTTTTTCCTTATCCTAGAATAACTAGTTCCCATTAACACACTTTAAGGACTGAGGTCAGGAAGCCATGAGGTCTTGGTATTTGCTGTAAATATATATTCACAACATTAAGGCTGATTTCTAATATTGACATACTAGTTGTGAGGTCCTAAGTAAGTTATATACCTTTTTGTGTCTCACTTTCTTACCTCTAAAATGGATATAATTATACCTGCCTCATAGAGTTGCCACAAGAGTTTAATGAGTGAATATTTATAAACCACTCTATGACTAGCACATAGAACATATACATACACACACACTCTTTTTTTTTTTTTTTAAAGAAAACTTCCTCTTTATTGATCATGGCTGTGGATAGGAAGGCATTTGCTGAATCACCTTTATCCTGTATGGATTATAATTCTCAAACAAGACTATTTTTTAAAGGTTTAAACATGTATTTGTTTTGTCCTCATCCCTTGACTAAGGGCAAAGTTTGAAAGGGACTGATGCTTCCCAAAACAGAATTTCAGAAAATGTCTTTAATTACTAAAGGATAACATCAGTAATAAAGATGGATGGAAATACTGTACTATGCTTCTCTTGGAATGTTCTGACCAAATTACAAGAACTGTAGGAGATACCGAGTTTTGTTGCTTGATTATCAAATCCTAGGTAACACCCCTGTAGATTCGGTCTTTTGGATTCCAACCGGGTCTTAACTGTAGCTCAGAATTTAACAAGAATGAAGTTTTACTAGAATGCATTCAATACAAGGCAAGACTCCCTTTAAAGAATTGTGTGACAGTATATATTTTACTCCAATTCCTGCTGTATAAAAAGTGTACTGCTAAATCAATGCTTGATGAGGCTGATAATGTTGATACAGATTTAATATCATGGGGAGAATAAGGGAAAAAATGAACGATGACCACTCTTGTAATAAGGCAAGACCTTGTACTTTTAACAATACTTTGTGAAAATGCTCTCAGAATTGGGTCCATCCAGAAAGAGTATGAGTTAAACCTGCTGAGAAGCAGTTTTCTGAATCTCTGGAATTAGTGCCTTCATTAATATTTAAAAAATAATTCTCTGAGATTGATTCTTATAGAGAAGCATCCACAAGGCAGGTCCACATTTTTAGAGGAAAAAAAGAGACCCTCCAAAGAATAAATGTATTTCTTATTAGTTATTTCCACATTGGCTTTTAAAACAGAAGACAGAACTTTTTGCAAGAAAGGACCAAGTGGCCACACCTTAAGGGTTTCTGTTAACACATGGAGCTTGGCCTTCATATTTTCTACAGATCGTTATGCAGTTATAAGTTTACATACTCATGTATTTATTAATTCAGCTTTTCTGCCTTCCATGAATAAATTATGCTTAGCTAATTTCCATACGAGCCTGGTGGCCTTCCCTAGGGCTTTAAATCAGAGAGTCTGGTGAAATTTTATGTACATTCAACAGCAGTTTATAGATACATTCAAAAGCATTTGACGTCACCATTCAACTGCTTACAATTCTGCTGGGAGGAAACGATTGCATTTGCATGCCTGGATGGGTCACACTTGTACTCTTGGGGGGCATGATGACCCTATTAGATGGTGTGTCTACTGCTGTTAGGATCACTGTTCCCACAGTTCTAGTTTAAGGGTTTTGCTCAATTCAAGACTGAAATAATTAAGATGTTTGGGGCTCGCGCTATCCATCTCTGGTCTAGTTCAAGTCTCTTCTGACGTGCGTGTTGCAAGCATGATGATTTATCACACCATCTCTTGTTCTCTGGGGAAAAACTCAGAGACAACAATGGCAACTTTGAGAGATTTTGACTTTTGCTGAACACAGAAAATCATTAGTTTTAAATCTAAAGGGTCCTTATTGATTCTGAGGCCTCCGAGCCCTGCCGCACATGCTCCACATTGCTTAGGTTAGCTAAGTCACCGCTGCAGCATACAAAGGGCACTGCCGCTTTGCCTAGACGAGGCCAAAATAGCCGGGGGAGGGACAATTCCAGTCACATTTCCAGGTAGTTAGCTCTCCCAAATACAAAGCAGCTACATTCTGGAAACAGATGCGTTCATGTTTCTCTTTTCTTTCAGCTGTTTCAAGCTGACTTTTAGAACTTCATGTCTAAAGTGAGCTCTACAATAGCTCAAGTTAAAAAATGAATCACATGATTTCCTCCTCCAGTGTATAGTAGTTTAACCTGTAAATGACTATCAGCAAGACCTCAACTTTAATTACAACTAGATTGTTTTCCATCTACTTCCCCCAAAGAGAGAGAGAAAGCTCTTTTATCAGCTTACACACTATTATAGCAAGATCTTCTGCACATAAAGCATAAACAGTAAAAGCCTTATGTGACCTGGCACATGTGTTGAGTCCAAATACAGAATCTGGGCATCAAAATCCCTAAGCCTTTTCTTCCTTCAATTCACTTTAGGAAATCTGGCTGCTGAGGGCATGCACACAGGCGGGCTTGAGCACATCCCCAGTGAGCAGCGCAAAGTCACAGTCACTCACGCGGTTCTGGTTTTGAGGGGGTAATTCCAACCAAGTAACAACTTTATGAACACTAACATTATACCCACTCACAGACAGATTTAGTAAAACACAACCAATGAATAAGAACTTCCCTTAATAAATATATTAGACATGAAACTTTTAGCCTAACCTTTCTTTTATTACCTCCTTCAAGGAGTGATATGGTTTGGATCTGTGTCCTCACCAAATCTCATGTCTGATTGTAATCCCCAGTGTCGGAGGTGGGGCCTGTAGGAGGTGACTGGATCATGGGGTGGAGTTCTCATGAATGGTTTAGCAGCATCTCCCTTGGTAGTGTATAGTGAGTGAGTTCTTGGAAGATCTGGTTGTTTAAAAGTGTGTGGCACCTCCTCCACCTCCCTCTCTTCCTCCTGCTCCCATCATGTGAGACGCCTCTCTCCCTCTTTGCCTTCCACCACGATTGTAAATTTCCTGAGGCCTCCCCAGGAGCAGAAGCTACTATGCTTTCTGTATGGCCTGTAGCACTGTGAGCCAATTAAACCTATTCTCTTTATAAATTACTCGGTCTCAGGTATTTCTTTACAGCAATGTGAGAACTGACTAATACAAGGAGTAAACAAACTCTTCAGTCTTCCCACGTCTTCTCAAAAGGCATACAATTGCTAGATGAACAACGGTGATCTAATGCTGATAGTATTTACTTGATAACCAAACTGGTGATGGCTACTTCCATTATGTGAATATTTGTTAAGAGGTTAAAACAAATCTTGCTAATCATCATCTGCTTTTTCTAGCATCTGTGTTTTTCTATTCTAAACTCTAGAATTTGAGGCTCTTGCTAGGATAGGAAAGACAGGGGTCTCCAGCAGAATGACCCTGGTTTTGCTGCTAAAGGAACCTGGTTTCTAGCCCTGCCTTTACCAGGTTTCACACCCTCAGGTTGGGCCATGGTCCCTCTCTTGCTTCTCTAAACAGCTCCATCCTCTCTCCCACACAGTGTAATACTCCTGGGCAGTGAGTCTCCTTGCACTCCCCAGCATGCTCCCGAAGCTCAAGCGCATGCTCATTGTGCTACTGCGGTTTTGCTCACGCTCCAGCCTGCCTCCCCATCTGCTATGTGTTTTGATTTCATCCATTCTTCCAGAGAAGCTCGATGCTCAACTACCCAGGCTCCTTTCTCAAAACTGTTAATTTGCTTATTGTAGATACTACACAATTTAGCATTTTATTATCTATTATATATCTGTTGGATCTCGTGTGATTCCACAAATGATTTGAGGTGGCTAAACTAAGAACAAATAAAACCGAATAATGATAAAATTAATATATGCCATATATTATACTGAATTAAAGCAAGGGAAAATATAAATAAATTGAATATCAAAGGCATGTTTTGCGAAAGGAAATAAAAGAGCGTAATGGCCATTTTTATTTAGTATATAGAAGTTAAGCATATTATATCCTATAGCACCACCATTTGTAAACTATATGCCTTTGGTCACATGTAGCTTTTCTAGGCTTCAGTTTCTGCACTTATAAAACAGGGCTAATAAAAATAGATTTTTACGTGAGAATTAAACAAGAGTGCTGTAAAAAGTGCCTGGTATGTAGTAAGTGCTCAACCAAAGCTAGTAATAACACCAAGAACACTAAACATCATGCTTGAATCGATATATTCTATAATCTTGTTTTTTTGTTACCTGTATGCATGTGACTGATCTTACTGTGAACTGCTTAAAGACAGTAGTTACATTTTAAACTTTTTTACTCTGAGAATGCATAGTAGGCATTTAACGTCTTAAGCTTGACCATATAACTTCTTAATAAAATTACGTGTTTAAAATACTTTAATGTATGGGGCTGACAGAATTAGAGGATTCATTTACTTATTTATTCATTTCATAATATTCATTGAGCATCTATTGCGTGCAAAGTAGGAAAACTTTGCCTTGGAAAAAACAAAGATAGTCCTTGCCACCACAGATTAATAAAATTGTAAATGGATACTACAAATACATAATTTGTTTGGTTATTGATCACTCAAGTAAAAAAAAACCTTTGGGAATTTAATAGTGAGTGACTAAGGGCAACACACATTAAACACATCAAAGCAAGATCCCTATTTACTGTTTCTATAGTGAATGGAAAGATAATCATCATGGCATGATGATAATGATGATGAACCTGATGACGATAACAACAGCTAACATTAACTGAGTGCTTACTGTGTGCCAGGCCCCTTGGGTCACAGGTGTGGGGGTCCAGGCAACTGCAGAAGCTGCCAGAGGAGCCCAAGCCTTTCCATCAGGACCAGGCAGTTCTCTGAACAAAGGGCTTTGCACTTGGCATCATACAGGAAGGTACAAACAGCTCCCAGCTCCTCGCCAAACAGAGCCTATGACCATAAATCAAAGAACAATCCTCATGCACGGCCGATGAAAAAGGACAGCATGCTCTGTACAACTTGTGTCACAGCTGCAGCCACAGACAGTAAATGTTTTTGGAATAAATGACTACTAGCTTCACCTTCAACATTATTCAAGATCCCAGGAATCAGAGGGTCAGGGACCGCATTTGGAAAAATTAGGAGGGGTCGATCTCTCAAAAAACTTCATAGAGAAGCAGTGGCTTCAGGCTCTCTGCTATGGGTCAGCTATGTCACCGATGCTTTGGTATTAATTCAGAAGGCAGGACCTCAGTGCTCAGTGTATAGCCAGGAGGGAGCTATTTCAACAATAGATTACTGTAATGTACTCGGCCAGTGCAGCCCTTACTGTTACCATGAGTTAACGCCGATTCATTTGAACCATGAAAATAAAAAAAATTAACAACAATAATAATGAACCTTTCATACACATGCTAGCTTCACTAGAGAGTCCCACACAGAATATGGAACTAGGGGCCAACATGTAGATTTGTGGCACTGCCCAGGGGACTCCAGAGTCCAAAAAGCAATGAATGCATTAAGCAAATCCATAACTGCAGTTTTCTCATGTGTGACAGATATAATGTCCCTCATTTTACTTAACTGTTTTGGGATATCATGTGTGAATGAGCACAGTGGAACAAAAAAAGGGCAGCTTTTGATGGGCTCTGATTCCACTCTTGAGGAGGCGGGCACACTCAGCAGTAACCTTCTGGCTGGAGCACATATTTTGGATTTGCCATGCCAGGAATCCAACCTGAAACCTCCCTCATACCTCAACTGAGGACTGACCACAAGCCACAAAAACCTCCCATCCCCACTGCAACTGTTTTCATACAGAACCCATTACTCTAAATGAAATCCATGGGTCACCTCACATCACTGTGGCGGCAGTTAGTGCAACACAATTTAACTCCTTGAGAGACTGAAATATCAATTATTCCACTGTGATGTCTTAATTTGGTGGATTTTGGGTATAGGTACAGAAGACAAGAATTTATTGCTACACATTCCTGACTCCAGGCATATTTTCTTTGCCTCAGTTTATCCATTTGTAAAATAATACCAATGATGCATGAATGTTTCAGAAATGTTAGGTTCAAGGCATTGTTTTAGGAATGGCAGAGCATACGGAGCTTTTACTTAATATTTATAAACCTTTGAAATCTCCTTATGTGTAGAGCTGTTTAAGTATAAATTATTATTAAAATTATTAGCCTTGAGAATTATAATTACTGCGTCATTATTTTTCTCATTATGCCCATTCTATGGGGGTTTTCCTGTAAATATTCCAAATGAGCTATTGGCTTTATTATATAATCAATTTAATGTTTACTTGAAAGCTTTAAAGACAAAATGTGACACAAATTTGCAAGATTTGAGGTGATACAAATATATAATCTCTTTTCCCAAAGAAGTTTTTGTAGGAAAATATCACTGGTTGGATGATGGCTACTTAGAAAGGATTACTACAGATTTGTTCAGTGGCTTTGGCTCTTATTTTTGGAAATGGGCCGGCCAAGATGTAATGCTCATACACTAATAGAAACTGATTCCCATTAGAAGCAGCTGGCTTACAGGGGCTAAGGTACTACTCCTTCCACTTTCTTCCTAAGCCATTACCTATTGCCATATTTCTTATAAACTTCCTCAGTCCTCGCAGTGAGCTCAATAAGAAATATAAAAAGATAAGGAAATCGTTAACTCACAGAATGTTAAAACCAGAAAAACAAGAATGACCATTTATTACCTACTTACCTTTCTGTCTGCCAGTTGTTTTCTAAAATGTATTACATGTAAGATCTCATTTTATCCTCACCCTTTTATCAGCTCAATAAGATAACCAGTGGTAATATCTCCATTTTCATACAAGGGAATGAAAATTCAGAGGCTAAGCAACTAGCATAAGGTCACACTGCTGGTGGTGTGTAGAGCTAGGTTTTGAATCCAGACCATATACTCATGGCCATTAGGACTTCAAACATCAGCTCCTCCTGAAGTCTTCCCGGGTGCCTTAGGCTGGAAGGTGCCAGTGACAATTTGGCATATGTGTGTTATGCTGGAGTAACAAATGATCCCACATTATGAGTGGTTTAAAAAATGGTAGCTTATTTCTCACACCTACTCAAATCCAACATGGGTCACTGGGATCTCTGCTCCCCGTTACCCTTCCTCCAGGGCCCAGGACACAGAACAGTCGCCGTCTATGTCATGAAGAAGGAATGAGAACTTCAGAGGGTCTTGTCATTAAACATGTCAGCTTGTAGGAAACATGTCATTTCCACTCACAGCTCATTGGCCAGAACTAGTTACATGGTCCCACCCGACCTCAAAGGGGCAGAGAGTTCAATTATCCTTGTGCCCAGAAGGAGACGAGAACCAGAGGTTTGCCAGCAGCAATAATGACTATCATAGTGCTGGGGGGATTAGCTGGTCTCGTGCCTTCAGGCTATAGGGAAGGAACTGCGTCCAGAAAGGTTGTTCGACTTGCCTAATGTTGCCCAGATAAGCTAGCTGGAAACAGGCGAGGAATGAGAGCCCAGGTTTCTGCAGTCCCTCACACTTTACCAACAACACATCCTCTTGTGGACTAACTTCCTGTAATGATGGTTTCCACTTCATCTAATGCTCAGTCATGGAGAGTACAGAGATAAATAATAAACCAAGTAGGAGTTGCCATTATCTGTGGCTGAAAGGCAGGAAGAACTTCCTCACAAGCAGCCTTTCCCTTAGAAAATATAAGGACACATTCACAACCCTTGACTTCTACTGAAATCTCTATTGTCTCTATTACCTCATGAATTTGAAACTATTACCATTCCCATTTCACAAGTGATGAAACTGAGTGTCAGGCAGGCCAATTCATCTGCCCCCAGAGGAAATGGTAGAGCAGGGATTTGAATCAGGGGCTCTAGTTTAAGCCTGCACTAAGCTATGCTTCCTCTTCGGGGTTGCTTAAGAAGTATTATCTATCCTATATCCATAACCTTATCATTGGATACTAAGTGCAAGGTCAGATTTCAAACTGGAACCTGCTTTTGTCAGTTACCGCAAACATGGCAGTGGTTCTGCTTAAGGCTAACAGTCACGTAGGGAATACAAATCCTAACCAAATGTCACCTCCTTCATGAAATCTTCCCTCATGCCCATCAGGGTGTGATTTTCCCGTCGGAACTCATAACATCTTTTATAAAAACCTTTCGTGAACATATTTAAGATGTTTGACCCATACTGTCTATCTAGGTGTTAGCTATTATTATCTGACAATAACAAGCCTGTAGAATGCCATGAATGAAAAGATTTTTTAAAAACACCAGGATAAAACTATCTTATTGAAATAGGCAGAACAGTTACAGAAATGATTTTGACAGGAATCATTTTATGCAACATCAAAATAGCCTTCTCAGTTGAATCTCCCAGACCCTGAAAAGCATTCAAAATAAAACAGACATTCCTGTCTTTTGGCTAGCTCAGCACTGAATTCCTAAAGGCAAGGGAAAAGATCATAAGACAACTTGAGATTATTCCATGATTCTACTATTAAACAAAAATTGTTATTTTAAATAAAGCCTCGCAGGCCCTAAGTAAATAAATAAATGGCAGGAGTCAGGCTTTGAACGTACTTAATTATTAGTATCGTCCGCACCAGTTTTATTCCCAATAATACTAATAAGTTACCCTTGTAGAATCGTTGATATGGTGAGCAGTTCAAAAATGTCCTTGTTGTCAAGAAACAGGGAATGATGTAATTAACAAAACTCACAGAAGATTGTTTTTAAAAAAGTTGTAGGCCAATAATGTTACCCTCCTCCTCTCCCATGGCATCACAACACCAGACTGATTTTGAGTGTCTCAACTTCCTGGACCCACTCTCTGGTTTTTCTGTAAATCTAGTTTTGTTAGTTGGTTTGTGTGCTTTCCTTGCTGATTTTTAAATATTCTTTAAGTATCTGAATAGCAAATCCAGTAGGTAAAAAAACAAAACGACGACAACCACAACAACAGTAAAAGGAATTGCTAAAGTAGAAGAATCAATTTGCAAAAGAGGGTGGAAAGTAGGAGGGTAGGAGGCAGTAGGGTACGCCGAAAATATACGTGATTATTCAATAAAATCATCATGAGCTTATAAAGATTTAGGACGTTGTAGGAAAGTTTAGAATTCAGAAAGGGTTGATACATATATTTTTGGGAAGAGTCACAGCTTCAGGGACATAACTGCATTCCACAAGTGCAAAAGCATTTACTTGTATAACATGGAGTTGCCTAGTTACCATATTTAGAAAATATAGTGCAAAATAAAACAGAGACAGAAACTTGGAGTTATAGTACTTCTTTTAATGTTGGTAGCCAGCCTACTTCAAACAGTGAACTAAGGATTGCCTCACGGCTGTGCAATATTCAAGGCACCCTGCCCAGAGGGAAGTGAGGGTTAAAATCCAGAGATCTCCAGGTTGTACTCCAACATAATAGTAAGAAGGGACTGTTTAGACTTGGAGTCCTGAGGGCAATTATAAAACAATCTTTTTTTCATTGCCAATGTTACTGACAAGAAAATAAAAAACAGTATGCCCATAAGAGAGCTGTATGTGTACGAGTACTCTTGTAATAGTCCTTGTAGTCCTTTTGTGGAAGGCCACATCTTTGATGCTACTACAAAATCTCTGCAAGAAGGATCTAGCAGTCACCTTCTGTGTAATTTTCTATGCATTCATTCACTCATTCAGCATATAATTATTGAATAACTACTGTGTGCCAAGCACCATGCTGGGCACTAGGCAGAAATAATCTCTACTGTTAAAAGAGCCTATAGTCTAGCAAGGATGACAGAAAGAGAAGAGAACGGATTATTATAACAGATAATTATATGTAAAGGAAAGAGGGTTCTTGGGCACCCAATGAAAAAATAAGGATTCTGACTCAGCCAGGGAGCAGATTATGCAATCAGTGATATTTAAGGGAGATTTGTACAATGTTTGCCTTCAAAATACGATATGCTGCTATAAGAGAGGCAGGTAGAGTTTACAAGATATAAAAGAATCAACTTTTGTATATCATTTTTACCAACACTCCTTTGATCTTACTAGCAACACCATGAGATAAAATTAATATTCCTCTTCTACAGATAAATCAGAGAGATAAACTGACTCACCTCAGATTGCCTGACCAAATGACTTTGAGATGACACTGATTTTAAGTGCTCATGTAGTAATACTGTCCATGATTTCTACTGCAGATTTCCAGGATTATGTACTCAATCAACTAAATGTGCAGACTTTCTCACTGGTTAAGTGAATCAATAACAACACCTTACATTTGTATAATATTTTATAGTTTTCTTATCCCATTGTTACATATGAAAGTGTCAGAGGCATGTGAACCAGAGCAATTCCATCTCGAATAGTAGCTGGGTAAAATAAGGCTGAGATCTACTGAGCTGCATTCCCAGATGGTCATGCGTTCAAAGTCACAGGATGAGATGGGAGGTCGGCACAAGATACAGGTCAGTGAAGAAGCCGGCCAAAACCCACCAAAACCAAAATGGCAACAAGAGTGACCTCTGGTCGTCCTCACTGCTACACTCCCATCAGTGTCATGACAGGTTACAAATGCCATGGCAACGTCAGGAAGTTACCCTATATGGTCTAAAAAGGGAAGGCATGAATAATCCACCCCTTGTTTAGCATATCATCAAGAAACAACCATAAAAATGGGCAACCAGCAGCCTTTGGGGCTGCTCTATGGAGTAGCCCTTCTTTTATTCCTTTACTTTCTTCATAAACATGCTTTCACTTTACTCTATGGACTTGCCCTGAATTATTTCTTGTGCGAGATCCAAGAACCCTCTCTTGGGGTCTGGATCGGGACCCCTTTCCTGTAACAAAACTCTCGTATGTAATAATTTAATCAAATTTAATCAAACTGCCTAGTATCCTTTTTCTTTTGGTTACTTAATTACTGATTATTATTGAATTGGCCACAATGACTAGTAGAAGACTTTTTCATATAACACAAAGCATACAGTTTAAATTTTGCACTGAAGAACGATAGACAGCACAACTGCAACTGCTTTTTAAAGTGAAATCTCATTTCAAAGATGTTAAATTTCTGTTTCAGATATGACAATTAACATGCTAATGTTATGTTTCCTTCTTCAAGAATTTAACTCTAATGAAAATAATTTTTGCTGGATTTAGTAAAATTAACCTTTATTCATAAAACTTTGCTCACAGAACTTCATGGTATTTCTTTTTTCGCCCCATGTGACTTAAAAGAAGTTCTGAACATCAGGCATATATCCAAAAAATAAATCTGTGCCAATTTACTAATCACTATCAAAACAGAGAAAATTTAAAGTGATTCAAAATACCAAAAACAGCCTAGATTGTGACATGAAAGAAAAACTGATTATTTTTCCTTAAATGTTTTTGGAATTTCTTTCTAAATATTTCTATGTATTCAAGTCTACATTAGGCAATTAATTTAATTCTAAGCCACTGAAGTTTTAAAAAACAAAAGAATACTTTGAATTTAAAAGAGGAACTTTTCTTGAGCAAATGCTCTTTTCTTGAGCAAACTGAAGTAATTTGGACAACCGGGCAGGCCAGGGTGGTCTTGCTACAATATTCAATCTTCTTGGATTAGTTACTTAACTTCCACAACAGCTATGTCCTTGAAAGTATTGTCAGTCATATGCCAGATGTAAAAACACATCAACCAGTGAGCCTTTGGGAACCTGTCGCGGTTTCCACTGTCTTATTTAGTTTATATTAAATTACATACAAAGACTTCAGGATACAGTGAGACGCTGATAAACACAGGTTCCTGCAAACAAGGGGTGTCCAGGGGGTTGGCCAGGGTGCTGCCCCACCTTAGTAAAAGGAGACATCGGCTGATGAGGAAATCTGGCACCATCCCATAATTCTTGTCAAGGCAAGCCCAGAGAGCGAGCCAGACTTACACACGCTAAGGGCAAGGCTACAGCGAGGGATTTGGAAGGACCCAGTCATTTGGAGTGGGGAAGCATGTCTGGGACATGGGTTTGTGGGGACCTCTTATCACTTTGCCTTAAAAGAAGAAGGAATGAAATTCCTTGCTAAAATCTGATGGGAAAATAGAAGCAATTAAGGTCCTCAAATGCATCCTACTGTAAGTGAGTTTCTGGGAATGTGTCCTCCTCAGTAGTGGGAGGCATTGCTCCTGCTATGCCCTTCTCAGCATGCACAGAGGATGCAGAAGAGAAATACACATTTCAAGTTTAGAACCCTGTAAATGTTGACTTAGAAGGTGAAAAACCCAAACCTTGCTCTTTGAGGTCTTGCAGTAAAATCTCTTTTCATTCTCTAACATGTGTTTTGTGGTTAGTACTATTTCACTCTCAATTCTGTTGTCTGGCACAAAACTGCCCAATGGCACAGAAGCCCAACAGGAGGGTAAAAGAAAATTGCTGAGCTCCAGCATTTCTCTTGTAATCCTTGGAGAACCATTTAGTACTGAACTTGTATCCAGGATACAGAACACTTTTTCCTATGCTGAGAGAGAATGACACAACTGGGCATTGTGGTGTGACCTAAATTCACAGATAAATATTTGGACGGCGACTCGCCCTTCACCTGGCATTAATCCTTTGCCCTTCAGTTTCAGGAAGATATGACACAGCCAGGGAAGGCATCTTGAACCGTATTGCCTCCTGATGGTATAAAACGCTTTTGTGGGACTGCATTGGACCTCATTATGTTACCTTAATGTTGGCGACTGAGAACAAGGCAGGTGAGGCGGAGGAAGTCCTTCCCCTGCTTGAGTTGCCTTTTACGAAGGAAGCTGAGGAGCCTTCTGGTTTTTAAATCCTGATTTCTGCAGCCCACACTCAACCTTTACCCCCATTTCTGCCTTTCTGTTTGTTATCTTTTAGAAGAACAGTCCCACAGGTAAGCCTGAGCTGCATGCCAGCTCTGCCTCCCTTCCACACAGAGATCAGTAGAGTTGGGATTCTAGCACCGCTATAATTTCTAATTTATACCAATCACATTACAGCTGAAAACAGTGCGGTCTCAGGCTGTCTAATATATGAGTCGTTATAAAGCTTTCCCTGATTCACTTATTGATCAACAACACTAGCTCTTAAAAACTATTTTAATCAGAAGGGGGATGTACTTCTTCACAGAGTTGAGGACTGGTCTTCTTATTTTCTAATGTTATCGTGCCCAAAGAAAGGGTAAATGAAAACACTAAATGCTCATAATTTTCCTAATAGTCTTTTTCTGCTTAAAAGAGCTGCCCCATTTTAAAATTTCATGCATGTTGCTATTCCTACAGTTTTATCATTTGTCAACAAATCAACTACCTGCTTAGCAGCCCTCATGAGGGATTTAAAATAGCCGCCATGAAAATCCTGGGCATTTACTATTTTTATAACAAACTTGATTGTCACCTATGATATTTCAAAGATCACTCCTCATATAGACATCACACTGGAAATTAGATGCAGGGCCCCCTTTCCATGGAACATTATGCACAGGCACTCTGACTAATAAATCTTCGTAGCTAATGCATTCCAGATGGAAGCCATATCTCACAGATTTAACCTTCCTAAACCCTTCCAAAAATTCCTCCCATCCAAAGCTCTCTGAATGAGATATGTTTGATTGAAATGGGATCATCAATACATGACAACTAAGTAATAGTACAAATGATTACTGCCTGCAGAAAAACTGCCATATTCCTTCCCACAAAGACATGGTTTTGGACAACCCCCAGGACAAGAAGATGGCCCTGTGTGTCTTACTAGATAGTTTAAATGCTTTCTTCTTGAATTCCCATTGCTGTTAACAGATGCTTTGCAGGAAACAGCCATTTCTGTCTCTTTAACTTTTGTACATGCATAACAAAGGCTGTTAAAAGAAATGAGCAAGACTCTTAGAGGAGCCACTCGTTAACATCCTGTTTAATCATGTCACCACGTTTAGCAGTCTACATCATTAGTTTATGTCAGGCAGATGCGGTGAAACACCTAAACACCTACTTGTAGATCCTTACAGAATCAGTCATGTGCAATGGTGAGGGCAGTGTCATACAAGATTATAGCTGCATCTGTAATATTCAGAACCATTACAAATCATCCCAACACAAGCTCAGCTCATGCAGCCTTCAAGAAGTTGGTTTTTTCTTGGTAGTTTCTCAAACATGGGTCAACATACAGCACATGGTTTTCTTATAGTTTTACAAGGGAACTGAACTTCTAGGAATGATATGAAACTGCCCCGTTCCACTCTCTGTTCTCACATGTGAGTGCTCTGCAAAGCAAGGAAGACCACCTTGAGAAGTGAAAGCCCGAAGAATTTCACTAGAAGGCACCATAGCAAAGTTTTAAATTCATAACAAACTTTGGCTTCTACCCACCCCCCAAAACCATCTTAAACTTAGGAGCTGAAATACAACAAAATTTCACTGAGTCAGACTGATGAGAGAAGGTCAAAATGAATTAGTGAAACATCAATGCTTTAAAATGTAAACCAAAGCTTTGTTTGTTTTGTTTTTACTTTCAACAGTTGCAGATTTAGTCACCTGAATTAACTTCCAGCAAATATTATGGTACATCTTAACACGGAATACTATTTGCAGCAACTGTCTGGATATAACAGATTATCATGCTGCCAAAATGCACACAAAATGTTTATCTCTTTTGTCTTGCCTGGTGGCCCCTTGCCTGATGGAAGCCAGCGCCGGGTGCCATTCAGAGACTCAGGTCTTGCTCCAGCTCCATGTAAACACTGTGTGATCCTGAGGCCACTCACTCAGCCGGGGGCACGCTGCCTC
Organism: Homo sapiens; assembly: GCF_000001405.40. Lineage (NCBI taxonomy): Eukaryota > Metazoa > Chordata > Mammalia > Primates > Hominidae > Homo > Homo sapiens. Next base: position 33,454,895 of record NC_000014.9, on the reverse strand, counting down.
TCCTCACCTGTTAAAGGCAATCTGGCTATACGCTGGGTCCAGTCAACAGGTACTCCCATCAGTATCACCTCATTTTTCTCCCCAGATACACATACCTATTCTTGGAGTTTCTGATGCAGTAGGTCCTAAGGCAGAATCAGTAATAGTTGAGCGGTAGAAAAGAAATCCCCAACTCCCCGGTTTATTTCCCGAATCCCCTGTGGTGAAACTAGATTAGAAAGACCCTAAGACCCTTTGCAGCTCTCAAATACCATGATTTTACTGAATGCATGCCTATACTTACTTACAAAAATGATCTGTCATATATGCTTAGGAAAAAAGGTCTGGGATAAGATATCCAACAATAACAACAATAACCACCAACACTCATCAAACACTCATTTCATCCCTGGTGTTGTTCTGAGAACATCTCATGGAGTAACATGTTTTATACTCACAGCAATCTTAGTGGGTGGGGCCTTAAAGGTGGAGTCTGTTTATTATCCTCATTTTATGGTTGGGCCACAGAAAGTTAAGAAACCATAATGTTTAAAAGCAAATTACTTCCTGATTGGTAAAATTAAGGGTAATTTTTAACTTTCACTTTTGCTTTTCCACATTTTCTATCTTTTAAAATAATCATGCATTCCTTCTGTGATAAAATGTTTAAAGTTTAAAAACAAATTGTATAAAGCTGACTTGGCATTAATATACACTTACTGGCACTGTAAATATAGAAAACATAGAACAATCCATCTGTTGTTATGTGGGTAAAAAGCCAGGCAATAACAAATGAAAAAGGGTACAGGGTCCAGAAATCTAGGCTAAAGGAAGCTATCATAACTGAGCATGAAATTTAGTCCCTGGCAGCCAGGGCAAAAAGGGAAAACCTTCGTTGTTGCTTAATTTAAAAAAGGAAACAAAAAGGGCTGGTCATGGTGGCTCACGCCTGTGTTCCCAGCACTTTGGGAGGTAGAGGCAGGCAGATCACTTGAGGTCAGGAGTTTGAGACCGGCCTGGCTAACGTGGTGAATCCCCATCTCTACTAACAAAACAAACAAACAAAGGAAGCATATCAGACCATTAGGAGGATTAAATTGTTCCAAAGCTCTACAATTGAGGAGGAATTTCTCTGTGGGTCTCCAGGTAAGGAGGATGATTTTATTCTAACACTTAAAAAATAGGTCAACAATGCAAAAGTAAACTTAAGCCCAGCTGGGACTGAATTATCTTAAAATCCGAACTGGTGAAATCAGAACCAAAGGACTTCAAGCTACCAGAATGCTGGCCCCATTTTTCTTTTTTATGTTGCTGAATTTGTGGATAACAAATCCAGAATACGCTGTCTGTCTAAAAGACTGATCATCATTATCAGGAAAGGCCATTTATAGAACAGTTCTGGTTTCTTTAATCATAGCCCTTAAAAGGTCTTCTAGATACTAAATAATAGGAAATATTGGGAAGGACAAAAAACCCACAAAGCCCTTTATAAACTAGAGGACAAGCCTTGCTTGTGAGTGACACATGCAGAAACAACCCTAAATCATACAGTATAATTATCTTCTTTATGCTCTGGCTCTAAAATTCTTGAAAGCCCCTGCCCAAATGTCCTCCTCACTTTGATCTATGGTTGTAATCTTACATTAAAACTCAATCACACCAGGGAATGTCATTTTGCCAGCTTTCAGGCAGGTCTTAACAATAGACCCCTGGCTGAGATGAACATGGGAGAGATCAAGCACTCTTCACCTCACTGAGCAGCGGGGGCTTGGTGAGGCCGGCACACCTGAACAAGGGTGAGCTTGAGCTTGGAGCCTGCCTGGCTCATTTCAAAATGAACCTGGTCCACTGGCATCTGTGAGGGAATCAGGAGCCTCTGTCACCTACGATCATGTCATTTAGTTGCTATCTCCCAGCAAGGGAAAAAGCCATTCTCGGATACCTAATTTCCTTTCATTTTTTAAACAATAAGAAACCATGCTTACCCAAGCATAATTACAAGAAGAGAGGGAGCTTACACTTGAATAGGAATACATATACTTAATTTTTATTTAATGATCAATGCTACTTGCCACCTTTGGTCACACACATCATCAGGCTGTACATTATGACTTGCCTTTTTTTTTTTTTTTTTTTTTTTTTGAGACAGAGTCTAACTCTGTCGCCCAGGCTGGAGTGCAGTGGCACGATCTGGGCTCACTGCAAACTCCACCTCCCGAATTCACGCCATTCTTCTGCCTCAGCCTCCAGAGTAGTTGGGACTACAGGCACCCGCCATCATGCCTGGCTAATTTTTTTTGTATTTTTTAGTAGAGACGGGGTTTCACCGTGTTAGCCAGGATGGTCTTGATCTCCTGACCTCATGATCCGCCTGCCTCAGCCTCACAAAGTGCTGGGATTACAGGCATGAGCCAACACGCCCGGCCATGACTTGTCTTTATCAGTCTCTATGTACTCTTTCTTCTAAAAGATTGCAGGAAAGCATTTGTCTACTTTTTAAGGAGCTCCTTTCAAATTAAACTAGAAAATTAGAGGCTTTTAAAAATATCTAATCCTATTATGCTCATTAATAAATTCAGTTTGTCACCATGATTACAATAAAAGCAACTGACATTGTCCTAAAAATTCAACTCCTCCTTCACAGAAACTTTAAGCATGTAGGTTCAACCTCCTTTAACAATGCCCAGCCCCATCCGAGAGTCCACAACCAGGAGCCTGGGTGGTCTAAGTAGCTTTCAGTTCCTTCATTGCCTGAATGCACTTGTTCACAAGGCCACTTAAAATTAAACCAATATAGATTTTGACTCCAGCTTCAGCCAGGTTCTGGGATAAGAGGGCATCAACATTAACATGATGAGACAAATTGCTTTTGTAACACATTCTCAACCATTCTTTTTCTAAGAACCATAGATTTTAATATCATTATGAATTTGATGTAGAGGCTGTTAGCAGACTTCAGCAAAACACAGCACCTGAAATCAAAGCCCATACATACCCTGCCTGTGGTTATAAATGATACTTGTATGGATACTCAGAACAGTCTTTTTATAGGAAAGGAAGATTTTATTCAACAGTTTAAGAATCTTGCTATAGAACTTCTATTTCTTACTGTTTATAATTCTGAGTAGCCTTAAGGAGACTTACATCCTTTCTCTACTCCTTAATTTCTCCTTAGATGAAAATGGGCACAAGAAAATGTGCAAAGATAACAGGCCCAAGATTTACAGTGCTTGTAAATCCATGAAAGTGAAATGAACCTAAAGAAACCATAACAATGAACCGTATTGTCATAGCATACATTTTTAATATTTGTTATACATGTTAAAAGCATTTTAAAACTTATAAAGTGTCTATCATAGCTTATTTCAATGTATGAAAATGATCGAGAGAGAGGAAAATAAATAGTAACAGTTTCTGGACACCAAGAATGGGCAACGCACTTCAGGGTATTATTTCACTTCACCTGCAATAATTCTGTGCTGTCAGTTCTATTACTGTCAACATTCTACAAATAGCAGGACTGAGGTCCACAGGCTTTGCCAAGGTCACATGACTCAGAAGTGGAGAAGGCTCAGATTTAAACTTTACTAAAAGTGCCTAGAGACTTTGAACTCAAGAACCTACTTTTTAACCACTGTACCGTATTGTTTAACATAAGGGGAAATATGGGGGCAGGCAGAGCAAATAAGGAGGCACAGCTGTATCAATTGATGATTTGGGGCAAGTAATTTTGTATTCTACAAATATTTATTAGGCATGTATTTTTTATGTGCCAGAGACTAGAAAAGGTACTGAAAACACAGAGATAAAATATCTTGGATCTCAAGGATCTCCAAGTCTAGCTGGAACGATAAACAATTTGATCCACAATAATAGAGTAAGACTACACAACTTAAGGTTGTAGCCATTTTCAGCGTTTGTTAGGAAACGATCTAATACCATTATTTCAAATTGTAAAAAGACTTATGACAGTTACAGAGCTCCTATAGACATTAAAGCATATTTGTCTCATGAAAAAATAATATTTTGAGTTTTTATGTAGTAAAAAAGAACTCTAGGTCCAGTAATGCCTGGCAACCATGACAATCAATAATTACCAATAACATCTAGTTGTATTTGGGGATATTTGTAAACAATAGATGAAGAGAGTCGAGTAAAACCAACAGCAATTAAAATATGTATTGAAAACTTCTCTCTCCAATTCACACAGATTCAGATTTAGAAAAACAGCAAACAATAAAATATCATGGCCAACTCTAACATACAGTACAACTCAAACTACAAGCAATCTGGCAGCGAAATAACAACAGTATTTAAGGAAAGATTCCATGAAGAAATAAAGTGCCAGAAATTTAACTGAAAAATTGAGAACATATTATTCCACATATCATCTAGACTCAGATGTTTTTTTCAGGATCTATCTCATTTCATGAATAACACAGGAATTAAAAAAATAGTTTGGGAGACTAGACACCAAAGAGCTGTTATTTGTAGGTGCTACGATTATGGATTATGAGTCACTTTGCTTTTCTTTGTGTTTCTGTAGTCTACGCTTCTGCAATGAATACAGATTGCTTTTATAATCATATGGCTTTTTTCTTTTCCGATGACTGCAGATGCATCAGCAGAACCTACCACACGGCACCTACTGCGGCTCAGTTTTGCTGTAGAACCGAGAAACATCACGTTAGATGCTTTAGCAACAACAATGTATATGTTGCATAAAGAAAAGTGTCCCAGAAGAGCAGCCAGCTGTCCTTTACATGAAATTGTGGCACTGCCTGTAAGAAGTATATCCAATGAGAACTTGTCCTCACCATGTAATACTTTTAATGGGTGAGCCATTTCAACACTTTACATACTGCCGAGTAAGTTTCTACAGAACTTTCTCATTGTACTCAGCGCTGTCTGTGCAGTTAATTTAGGCATCAGAAAACTCAGTTGTTAATTTTCTGACTTGCCTCTGGACTCTTAAATGCTATTGCTCCAATCATAACACGTCGGAACACTTACGCAGATTTCAACAATAATATCCACAGCTGGGAATAAATCAAAGCAGTTTTATCACTGATTAAGTGCTATTGAAATATGGTTACAAGACAACATGAAGCAAAGGACAGATTTCACTTAGGAAGATTAAGACAGAGCCTGGGGGGGAATAAAAGAGGGTAATCCAAACAAAGTCTATGCAACATTTAAAAAATATAATTCAGAGTCAGAATGCAGATTGCATTTTTTAGCCATTTAAATTCTCAGTTTCTTCTCTGTGTGTGTGTGTGTGTGTGCATGTGTGTGCATGTATATGTGTGTGTGGGTGTCTGTGTATTTATGCTATAAAGTGGTTCAATCATATAAGATGAATTTAGGCACAGCTGTTTTTCAAGCTAAAGTGTCTTCATACTAAGGGGTCAAAAAAACGCTTTCTGTAAAGGGCTAGAATGTAAATATTTTAGGCTTTGCAGGGCATACATCCTCCGTTGCAACTACTCAGTTCAGCTGTGGTAGTGTGAAAGCAGCCATGACAACACATAAATTAATTGGTGTGGCTGTATGCCAAAAAAATTTACTTATAAAAACAGGCAGAGGGCTGGATTTGGCCCCTGGGATGTAGTCCACTTACTTTTGTACTAAGATAGAGGTTATTCCATCTACCCAGATAACTCCTAAAATATGAGGATGGAGTTGGGGAAGACATGTAGGACTCAACATACTCAGTCATCCTAAGCCTCTGCCTTATCACTCGGGTGAATGTGCACTCTGTCCAGAACTCCTGCAGTCTCTTTTCGGTGGACATACAGCAGACAATGTCACCTCTACCTGCTCCCTTGAGGCCTATGCGGTTGGGGTGTTTAACTCTCCTTGAGTGTCTGCCCAGAGATTCTTTTTGAAAAATCCCTTCTCCTCCTTTATTTCCTCCTCCTTTAAGTGCCCTTCCATTTCCATTGCTAATTATTTTTGGCCACAGACATATCAGGGTTTCCTCTTTATTATCAGATCGTTTGGGGTTTCTCTTGGACCTGGCTGGCATCTGGTGCAGACAGATTTTGGCCTGCTCACTCAGGCTGGGCTGACCAAGCCAGTTCAGATGCTTGTATGCTGCTATTTTTCATTCACATCTGTACGGACATTTGGAAGAGGGACAGCAGTTTTCGGCAACGTTTCATCCTTGTCTCAGGGGCACTTTGATATTTTCATCGTGGATCCAGATGATGGCAGAGAGATGTTCCTCATTATGATAAAGACCACCAAAATTTAGGTGCAAATGAAGTTCTTCCTTGCAAGATAATCTCAGAATTTAAAGTAATCTTGCCAAATAGGAACAATGATCATCAGAAACATCATTAAATTGGTAAGGACAACCACAGCGCTATGTATCAAGCACAGTTCATGGAATAAAGTAAGATGCAAAATGTATGCTATCAACACCTAGATGGGCCCTCAGCACCACTTTGCCCTCAGCGACCCTTCCGCATGGAGCTCACGAGCTTCTTTTGCAGTTGCCATTTCCAATCTTCACTACTCTCTTCAAGATTCCTATTCTATCTTTGGACTGTCTTTTAGAGAGATGAAATCTGTTATCCCCTTAAATTATGGAGTTCCCTAGGATTCTGGGCCCTGAATTTTCTTCTTTTAAAACTTTATATGTTCTTCTTAGAGGATCTCATCCAAGTGCATGACTTTTACTACAACCTACACAAATTCAAATGATGTTCAAATCTGTATCTCTAAGCCTCCTAAGTTTCAACCCTAATCAGTCCCATCTTTAACATATGTCTTAAAAGCACTTCAAATTTTTTATCTGTCCAATCGAATTAATAATCTTCTCCATCCCTCCTCCTACATAATTCATACTTATCATTATCACTATCTACCCAAATATTCTGGCCAGACGTGCTGGAGGCTAACTGTTCCCTCTGCCACACATGTAGAGACTCAGTCTCCAAATCCAATCTCTCCTACTTTCTAAATGTCACTTAATCCTTCTGTTTTTGTTTTTTTTAAGAGATAGGGTCTCACTTTTTCATCCAGGCTAGAGTACAGTGGCACAATCATAGCTCACTCTAACCTTGAACTCCTGGGCTTAAGCAATCCTCCTGCCTTAGCCTTCTGAGTAGCTCATACTATAGGTGTGTGCCACTATGCCTGGCTAATTTTCTTTATATTTTGTAGAGACAAGATCTCACTGTGTTGCCCAGGCTGGCTTGAAACCCCTGGATTCAAATAATCTTCCTGCCTCAGCCTCCCACAGCACTGGCATTACAGGTATGTGCCACTTTGCCCAGCCAATTCTGTTCTCACCCCTGCTGCTACCTTAGTTTTAGGCCCTCACTATTTTCTCTTCTTTCCATAGTGGTCACACTACTCCTAATATCGAAATCCTCTTTCATGTTATAGTTGCATGTCTAAATTTAAAAACTCACTGCTTAGAATAAAATTGTCAAACATCTTAGCATACCATTTGAGGTCCAATATCATTTCATGTTATGCCGGCACTCTTCTCCCTACCTCCTACAAATGCGTGCGTGCGCCCACACACACACTCACAGCACACGCACACTCTCATAGCACACACACAAAATCTAAACTATAGCCAGGTTGTACAACATGCTCTTCTGTGTTTCTGTGCCTTTGCACATTTCTTGCATTTAGAATTCTCTCATTCATGTGACATCTTACCCACCCATAAAAACTTAGCTTACAAGTACTATCCTCTGCAAAGACTCTCTGAACTTCTACCACCAAGCTAAGATAGTCCTTTAGGCCCCAACGGCCTTTTGCATATGCCCATGTGATAGCACTCAGCACAATGGATTGCTATTACAGGTCTATCTCTCTCTCCACAGATTGTGAGCTTCTTTAGATGAAGACACCTGCTTAGCTCATAAGTATATCCCACCATTCAGAATAGCATCTCGTGCATATTGCTATTTGGTAAATATTTGTAAGATGCATTATGCAATAGGTAGCTACATACAAACGTAGTTGTATTAGTTAATGAGCCTGCTGTAAGATTCAAACATAGTATTTCACCTCAAATCAACATATTAGAAAACACTAGGTAGCATAGAAAATATTATCTCATTTTGCAGCATTGGTCAGATCATACATGAATATACTTAATAGATTTTGTTCTCTGTAACTAATGCTATAGAAAACATGAATACAACTGACAGAAAGTCATAAAGATTTTATAAAATAAATCCTATAAGACATTAGGCAATAGAATAGAATTACGCAGTTAAAAAGAAAGAAAGAAAAGAAAAAGACCAAGGATGATTCAATGGAAACTCCTGAGCCATCTCAAGAATTTTCTGCTGAGACTGCTAACAAGTTTTTCTCCATCTCTTCCGAGGGAGGAATGAGATACAACTATCTAGTAAAGAACATGAAAGAATTTCAGGAATATCTATGTATCCTCTTGCTTATTAGAAAGCATGAAGTGGCCGGGCGCGGTGGCTCACGCCTGTAATCCCAGCACTTTGGGAGGCCGAGGCGGGTGGATCATGAGGTCAGGAGATCGAGACCATCCTGGCTAACAAGGTGAAACCCCGTCTCTACTAAAAATACAAAAAATTAGCCGGGCGCGGTGGCGGGCGCCTGTAGTCCCAGCTACTCGGGAGGCTGAGGCAGGAGAATGGCGTGAACCCGGGAAGCGGAGCTTGCAGTGAGCCGAGATTGCGCCACTGCAGTCCGCAGTCCGGCCTGGGCGACAGAGCGAGACTCCGTCTCAAAAAAAAAAAAAAAAAAAAGAAAGCATGAAGTGTCCCTAGAGAAGATGGAAAAAATAATCCAAGATGAAAACTGGAAGAAAAGATTTCAGTGGGGTTGATGTTGACTCAAACGGAACATCAGAAGATTAGAGAATTGAAGCTATCATTGAGGAAAAAGATAAGAGAAAACTAGATTTCACTAAAGCCACAAAAACTGTAAATGGCACTGACCATAGCAGTTAAATTTGGATCTTCTGAAAAAAAAAAAAAAAAGTGCAACACTCCTTACCCAAAGAAGAGGCACAGGCCTCAGCCCAGGGAGGTCCCTGTGTACCCTCCAGAGAAAGAAGGTTGGTGGGTCAGCTGGTGACTGTCTCCTAAACAATGGGTTGGTTATTCAACATGGGTAACCAAGAAGTTCATTCTTGCTTAAAATGATATGCCACTGAACCTGCAAATTCCTATTCAAGTAGGTTGACTTGAAGAGAGAATAAATGGTAGTTATAGAAAATGTTCCAAATTGTCTCTTGAAGATTTAAAGCTCTGGGTCTGAAACTGAAGGCCTTGGGGAAATATCTTCATCCTTGAGGTTATGGCTTGGTATGAGAAAGCTGGTCAAGAGAATAGTGTCAACATATTTTTTGTTATTGGAAATGTTTTTTCAATTGTATAACAGAGTTATATTTCACTCATCTGGCTCAAGATAGAGAAATTATTCTAAAGATCAGGAAATGTGTATGTGAGATATAAAAATATTTCAAAGAGAAATTGGAGGCACATGTCAGAGTTGGGGTGAAACAGGTAAAATTCTACAGGAGAATAGCTGTAGTAGAAGACAGTGAGTTTCACAAAGACGGAATGATAACAGAGGTTTTGCTACGAATACTTAGTTTTTGAAGTACATATAGTAATATGTAAAATGTTGACAATAAAACAAAATGAACTTAAATATTAGCATAAAGGAGAATAATAGAAATTTTTTTAACACAAAGGAATAAGCAGTATACACCTCAACTCAGAGCGATGTGACTCATGCATGGAGAACAATGACAGAGGGTGTGTATTGATCAAAATAAATACAATTAACCAAGTGCCGAAGAATAGTACAGTCTGTTGTGAACAAACACAAACAATGTAAACAACCTGAGGAGAAAATAATCCTAGAAGGTGGGAACACAATGGAGAATATTTTGGTTTAAATAAAAAATACTTAAGTTGCTGTGAGAGAAGATCATAGCATGGTGGATAAGAAGGATGATTTCCGAAAGCAGATAATTAAATTGGGTAGCAGAATGATAAGATGATGATGAGGGAACCTCAAGCATTAGACTATCTGTTGGGAGTAACATTCGGGCAAAAGCAGAGCATCTGATAAATTCCTGCCTTACAGGCAGTTTCAACTTTTAGAAGGAAAAAGGGGAATGTGAATAGATGTGCACTGATTTTCATAGCATTTCCTTAGATCTCTTTTAAACAAGATATAAATATATAAAGCATAAAAATCATGTGATCTCAGGGTTGGAGGAATCGTGAACACTACCCAGGCCGATCCACATGGACTCCATCTAACCCGACTCTGCCATGGGATAGCCCCAGTAGTCCTTGGACCCTCCAGTGACGCTGGTCAGGAAATGGGTCATTCCATGTTTCACCAGTTTAGACCAAGATGTCTTTATAATGACATTAAAATTTGCTTAGTTACTGGCCTTAATTCAAATTTCTCTGAATCTGCAGACTCAAACTAACTCTTCTACCTCAACTCAATGTCTCTCAAATGTTCGAAGACAGTTACTTTGTTTGCACAAACTTTCTTTTCCCCAGGCTTAACAACCCCATGTCATCCCGTCACTGCTCACATGACTTGTTTGGCAAGTTTTCACCCCCTGCTTGTTCTCTTCTGGACAAAAAGAGGAAGGAACATGGAGGAGGTATAGACAAGAACCTTAAACAAAGTTGTAACACTGCAACTGTGGTCATCATCATAAAGAAAGAAAAGGCTGGGTATCCTCAGTCCCACGCCCTGAGTTTTAGGCATACAGATTCTTAATGCATAGTGAACAGACAGACATAATTCCATGACTAGGGATTCTAAATCGAATGTCTCTCAAGGTGACTTGAAGATTCCAAAAGACAAAGTGTAAATTTCTTCTACTAAAATGGAAAAAAATACAAATGTACCAAATTAAATAGTTCAAGTTCCATGATGTAGGCAAGCCATAATCAAAAGATCCAGTACCACAGTGGGTGCTTTTAATTTTATGTTGCCTCAGCATCTATTTTCACATAAAAGGTTAACTTTCTCATACCAGAAGCAGGTCTCAGTCACCCTTGACACAGTTTCCAACATTATACCCTACCCGAATGGCTCCAGCTGGTGACCAGAGATAAAACTCAGAGGCATCTCTTCCACCTAGCAGGCTGGGCTCCCCACTTTCCTGCCACTTCCTGTAAATGGACCATTCAGACATTTGCCTGCAAACTTAAAGTGACTCCTTCTCAGTCACAGCGTGACCTCCTGGAACTAGTGGCTGCTGCTTTAAACCCTGCAATTAAAGCTCCCCTGCAGGAAATCTGTTTGGATAATGCCCTGGAGTCAATAAAGCCTTTGGCCCACTGGTCCCCTCTCTGCCTGGGCTCCTTAGCGTGTGTGGAGGGGGTGAGCACCTCCAGGCATGTCATGTATCTTCCAGGACAAGATCCATGCAACTGGATTCCCTACTGGTGCTCTTTTGTTTGAGCCTCTCAGCTGCTGGGGACAGTAGTTACCAGCTAAACTAATAGAATTTCATTCAATACATAAAGTTAGCAATCTTTGGAACATTTTATTAAATATGAAATTAAGAAAACTCTGTAAAAGAAACCAGTGATCACTGGGAGGCAGCAAGCATGCATTACAAATCTTGGTGAATTAACTTTTTTTTTTTTCCTTTTTTAACAGAGTTTCTAGATATATAGTCAAATTTTCCCTTTAAGTATAATGATGTTTTTAGCAGCATATTCGATAGACTTGAAATTGAGGAAAATGTGGAAGACAAAATATAGTTAAATGGAGTAATAACTATGAACAATGCAATAATAACTTGAGTAAAGGAATTCAGTGTTAACTGAGGGAAGCTGGTCAATCTGTAAAGGGCTCTCTCTTCTACTGATTTGCTCTGTAATTATCCTGAATCATTCCACATTTTAAACAATGTTTTCATAAAGACATTTCATACAGATAAAATGTATTTGAGAGAGAGAACTCAGGTAAGGGTAAATTATCAAATTATCAAGATTCAACCTTACCTCTTTAAGTAAACAAGGTTCAGAAAACATTAAACTTAGAGGCAGCAGAACTAAATGTCAAGTCTTAACTGACGCTAACAAATCATTTCCTTAAATACAAGATGGGGAAAACCTGGTGTATTCGTTTGTTCTCATGCTGCTAATAAGGACATACCTGAGACTGCATAATTTATAAAATAAAGATGTTTAATTGACTCACAGTTCAGTATGGCTGGGGAGGCCTCAGGAAACTTACAATCATGGCACAATGGGAAGCAAACAAGTCCTTCTTCACATGGCGGCAGCAAGGAGAAGACAGAGCCAAGTGAAGGGCGAAGCCCCTTACAAAAGCATCAGATCTCATGAGAACTTACTATCATGAGGATAGCATGGGGGAACCACCCTCATGATTCAATTACCTCCCACAACACATGCGGATTATGGGAACTACAATTCAATATGAGATTTGGGACACAGCCAAACCGTATCACCTGGCTTAACTGTAGTTTTTTAATTTTTTTTTTTTTTTAAGACAGGAACTTGCTCTGTTGCCCAGGCTGGATTCCAACCCCTGGGCTCACGCAATCCTCCCTCCTCCCACCTCAGTCTCCTGAGTAGGTGAGGCTGCAGGCAGGCACCACCATGTTCAGTTGACTGTCATTCTTATGACTGAGATCTGGAACTTTAGTTCACCAAAAGTTAGACAAATAAACAGTGAAGTGGCTGCTAAATAGCTAGTATCATTTTTAAGCCATGTTAATACAAGTATAATTTTTAGATCAAGGATTTAGTCCTCCCCCCAGTCTTCACCCTACTGAGACCACATAAGAATATTGGTACACTGAGTATGAAGTAGTACATCGAGAAATCTGCAAACTATGTCATACGAGGAATCATGAAATAATTAAGGGAGAAATTGTAGAAGAGAGCTGATATGGTTTGGCTGTGTCCCCACCAAAATCTCATCTTAAATTGTAGCTTTCGTGATTCCCACATGTCATGGGAGGAACCTGGGGGGAGGTAATTGAATCATGGGGGAGGGTCTTTCCCATGTTGTTCTTGAGTAAGTCTCATGAGATGTGATGGTTTTATAAAGGGGAGTTTCCCTGCACTGGTGCTCTTACCTGCCACCATGTAAGACGTGCCTTTGCTTCTCCTTTGCCCTCAGCCATGATTGTGAGGCCTCCCCAGCCACGTGAAACTGTGAATCCATTAAATGTATTTCCTTTATAAATTATCCAGTCTCGGATATGTCTTTATTAGCAGCATCAGAACAGACTAATACAAGAACTCTTAGAAATAAAAGAGATTCAGAAGTCAAAACCGGAATCAAAAAGTGAAAAATATAAAGAAGACAGTTTTTAAAATGCGAATAGTACAATAATAGGATGGGCTGCCTTCAAAGGGAACAAGTTTGCTATCACTGGAAATATTCAAACAGCAGTTGGATGATTTTGATCAATAAGATTTCCAAGGGATTCTGCTATTGAAAAGTAATGTTAACTGGATAATCTGAAATTTTATCTGCACTCTAAGATTCTTTTATCTTTTTTTTCTACTTTAGGCTATTGCTTTGAAATTAGAATATACATGGATTATTGACTAAAACGTTTGGATAAGGAATGTTGCAGAAGTCTCTCTATAAAGTTTTATATTAGGAAAGGTGATGTAATTAATAATACTAATTTGCATATGCATAATAAGTTTATAGAATACATCTGCATATTATATTTCTTAAAATTCTCTCATAAGAAATTAACAGTGTTAAAAGTGAAACATCCAGAAATTGAGTAAAAGAACAACTATCCAACATTATTCCACAATCTTCTGGTGCACATTGAAGTTACAGAATCACAGCACTGAAGTGGACTTATGCAAGTCCAATGGCTTAACTTTACTGAAGAGGAATCTAAGGACAGTGGGGTTTTATGATTTGCTAAATTCATTATTACCGTGGCACACTAGGAAAACATTCTTAACAAATATAAAAGATGTGCTTGTAAGAAAAACAGCTGTTTGTGCTCTTCATACAGTCTTTTTTTTTTTTTGAGATGGAGTTTAACTTTGTTGCCTAGGTTGGAGTGCAGTGGCGCAGTCTTGGCTCATTGCAACCTCTGCCCCCCGGGGTTGAAGTGATTCTCCTGCCTCAGCCTCCTGAGTAGCTGGGATTATAGGCGTCTTCCACCACACCCAGATAATTTTTGTATTTTTAGTAAAAACAGAGTTTTGCAATGTTGGCCAGGCTGGTCTTGAACTCCTGACCTCAGGTGATCCACCCGCCTCAGCCTCCCAAAGTGCTGGGATTACAGGCGTGAGCCACCACGCCTGGCCAAGACTTTCTATATTTCCTGTCCCCTTGGAGTAAGAAAAGAATCACGTCTTTCAAACTTTTCTGTAATGATAAAAAGTTGGAATTATAACAAATTTGTGAAGTTAACTATTAAGAAAGAATTGGTATAATCATTTGGCATTACCCTGAATCATACTTTGGTCAATACCTTCTGTGGCATGAAACTCCAACGAAAGTAGTCAGCACCCTTGGTCGGGGGACAGGGTTGCAGTGAATTGGACACTAGAATTTACTGCAGCTTCCCCCTCACCAGGCTTGAGACCACCCTGAGCTGGGGATGTCCTCCATCTCAGCATCCTCTGTGTATCATCAAGAAAGGGAACATGGTCCAGTGACAAGTACCTTGAATCAGGATCAGGTCTCTTCTCAGTATGCTCATTTGTAACATGAGGAGCTGGGTAATTTCACAGGTTCCATCCGGCTTCAACAATCAGCCACTCTCCCACAATGGTCTTTTTTCTTTTTTTTTTTTTTTTGAGACAGACTGTCACTCTGTTGCCCAGGCTGGAGTGCAGTGGCACGATCTGGGCTAACTGCAAGCTCTGCCTCCTGGGTTCACGCCATTCTCCTGCCTCAGCCTCCCGAGTGGCTGGGACTACAGGCGCCCGCCACCACGCCTAGCTAATTTTTTTGTATTTTTAGTAGAGACGGGGTTTCACCCTGTTAGCCAGGATGGTCTCGATCTCCTGACCTCGTGATGCACCCGCCTCGGCCTCCCAAAGTGCTGGGATTACAGGCGTGAGCCACCACGCCCAGCCGTAACATTCCATTTTTTATCTTCCTTCCAAATGAGTAACAAACCGAGGAAATTTTTCACTCAGGTTGGTTTCTGGCCTCTTTTAGGCACCTAGCAAACTTAACCGTCCATTAGCACTGACGAGTTACTGCTTTCTGTCACTAACTGGTTGGGAATTCTGCAGGTTTTACATTTTTTGAAATTGTCTTAATTTATCATTTTTAAATGTTTCATTTATTTTTAAATTTAAGGGCTATTTAAAATTGTTTTGCATTGGAATTCTTATTTTTCAGTACTCAGATTCTTCCTCAAGATTCATTGATTAGGCATGGGTATGGCCACAATTCCAAATAGAAACTCGGCTCTGAGGAACGTAGGTCAAGTTCATGCCTCACACTATGACCATGGTGAAGAGAATGATATCTTAGCTCAGAGATGCAGGACTCAGGCCTTTTTCTTGTGTGTTTACTACAATGAATTTCAAGGTATAACCACTCATGCAACTGTTTATTTTATCTAGACAAACTACATATTTGCCCCCTGGGAACAGTATGAAACGTCCTAATATACACAAGTGAATGTTCCTTTCTTTTTTGTAGCTTATGCAGGCACAGCCTTAGTCTCTCTCTATCATAGCTTTCTAATCCACCATGTAGAATAAATACTGCCTATAAATGTCCTATTTACTTCACAAAATTATAGTGAAGATGTATTAGAAAAACAGTTTCTGCAAAATGCTTTGGATTTTTTTTTTTTAAAGACAGGTACTATTTTCCTAAGATAATATTATGTATTGCTTTGTTAATTTGGGTAAGTTTGGAAATTGAACAATTGTGGAAATTTAATTCCTGCATGTATTTCACATGTCCGACCTTAGCACCACAGGCCTACATGGTGTTGAAAAATTTCATAAATGTAGGTATGTCACTGACAGTCAACAACAGGCTAAAATCCATTGCTTGTCGGAGATGTCATACAGAAGCAAAAATAGAAGCATTTATTTTAGGTGTGCCCATGCCTTTCATTTCATCTCTGTCATCTATTAACCAACGTGGAAAATTTTTACGTATTGTGGGAATGATTGTTTCTTATTTTATCTTAAAGGTAAAATTGATGGTGAAAGAGTATACCATGTATTTATTACCACAGTTAGAGGCAGGATAGCTTAGTGATTCTGAGCATGGATTCTAGATGCCTTCCCCAAGCTGGTAGAATCGTTGCTAATAAAATACCCCAGCTGAGCCATTAATAACACAAGAATCCAAATCGGCAAAGGCCCAATTATCATGCAGTTATCCTTTCCTTTTTGAGCAATTCTTCTACAACCCTGTAATACCCTCCTTGTCTCTGATTCAGCCTTGCAATTCAGCCTCCATTTCACATGCTACTGTTTAACTATTGAAAAATCTTGCTATGATGTCTTTTTTTCCCCCTGTGCTTCCCCCATTCGGCCAGGAAAGGTAAGTTTCAGCAGTAGTTCGCCTTCCGTTACATTTCCCTGCCACATGGAGAGTCTTACTGCTCTTCACTATGGAAAAGCTGCTTACATGCAGCACTTTATTTCAATAACACATAAAAATGGGGTAAGAGTATGATCTGTCTCACTGCAATGCATGTCATCTTTTCTATGCTCAGTAACCACCAGGAATTCCACATGAAATCACATTATCATTTATGTTTTTTATGCTCAGTAAGCATCAAGAAATTTCACATGAAGTCACATTATCAGTTGTTTTTTTAAATATCAAGAAAATTTCTATCTTCATTTGACTGACATACATATATTATTTTCCAAACGCGATACAGTGTATTTTCAGCACTTCAATGCCTTCTATCTTAATTTCCCCTTTACATCTTCATTATAAAATTCCTAGCCAACTTAAATGTTGTACACTTTAACAACTATAAACAGACAATGCTGGAAATATACTGGAAAATAAGGGGGAAGAAATAGGCTACCTTGGAATGTATGAAGATTTTGGTGAGAGGCTGGCAAATTCTCCTGGTCCTTGAACACATGGTCTACCCTACCACATCTGAAAAGTTGTGACAGGGAAGCCCTGGCTGTGGTCATTACTTCTGTAAGGCTATGTGAATATACTAGTCCATAATGTCGATTTGACAGTGTCTATGTGGGCTACAAGTATTTAAAATATTTCCATCACTCAATAGTTAGAGTCAAAGTCAAATTATGCCACTTTCTTTTCTATTATTCAACCCAGCTCAATCCTGAAGTGGTTGTCCTCTCAAAAGGAAGGGCTATTTATTCCAGTAAAGGACTCTCCCTCTCTTTATCAATCTTGTGGGAAGATTAAAGGCCACTCTATTTGGGACAGTCAATTGGATTCCTTGAATACTCTACTCTAGAATCCAGATGGTAGAAAACTATTAAGTGGATAAAAGCTCAGGGACCAAGGGTTTCAATTATAAGTCATGTCCTTCTTAACCTGACTTTCTCTATGGCCACAGATATATCAGGTAACTTCTCAGCACTGTTTCCTCTTCCCCAAGCAGGCAAGCTTGGAAAAATTGGTTCTATACCGCCTTAGGAATCTACATTAGAAATCACCATCTCTGTGAATTTTTAAAACCAGTTCCCTCATCAGACTGCTGATGAGATCAACTAATTAGAAGACATAACACAAAACAGAAACTGATCATACCTTCTTATATAGCTTTGAATGATAGAAATAAAATAACAACAACAACAAATATCAATCACCTAACTCCTGCGCTGCCTTCGTGCATGTCATGGACTGCAGCCTCTAGGCTCACAGACTTGTGGTCACCACTAGAGGCTGTTACTCCATATGTGTTTTTACTTCTCATTGGATGATTTTACACGTTTTTCAAAAGCCCAAAAGTAAGCAAAATTGTAGGGGTAGTGTGGGCCAGAACTAACTAGCCTCAAAATGAAAACATCAGAATAGGAAATTAAGGCACAACAGCTAGAATTTCAATAAGGAAGAGTTGTTGTTTTTCCTAATTAAAAAAGTCAATGTCCTTGGTTTCTCAGATTTCTAACTAGTTGCAAGTTAGTTGAACAGTTTCCATGTATGCATCTGAATTGTGCCCCAAGAGCCTCAAGGGTATCCGAACCAAATATACATATTTATTCAGGAAAATTAATTGTTCACACTGAAGAAATAGGTTGTAAATTGGATGAAAATACACAGCAATGCTTGAATATGTGGGAGAAATTTAAATACATGCACTGACCTTTGAGGAACACAGATACAGAATGGTAGACAATATTTGAAATGCTGCTTTATAAAAACAGCAGTTTCATTTCCAGGATCTTAGACACAATGAAACAAGATAAAGACAACAGATTTGGGGAGACTTTTCAGGAAGGAACTTTTTGTGGTTTAGTGTTTCCGCTATCTAGCACACTGATGTGTACATGCCACAGTCATTGAAATAAGCAGTTAATATGTCCAAAATATTAACGTCAAAAGGTTTAAAGGTGTGTTGAAATATACCACACTTGCCCCTTGATCCCCTTAATTAGCTATTATAAATTTTTAAAAATCCATGTATCTATTGAAGCCCTTCTTGAAGCACATGTCTATGTTTAATTTGTCTTACTTAGAGATAACATTTGCATGCATCTACTGGTCAGCGGAGGACTTGCTGGCATGACGGTAAACTTACATGCACGAGAAAGGAGTCACCTCTCGAAATCACCCATTCTTCATGCTTTCTTTCCACCACTCCCCTTCTATGACTAAGATGACTCAACTTCAGGCATACTGACATTTGTGTAACTGCAAAGAAATGAGTCAAAGGATATTTGGTTCTTAGAAATGTGCCTGACTCCTCTTTTATGGCTGGCTGGATCGGCTGCAGAATTACTGTTCTAGGGCACCAGCAGTTTCTCACAGACACAGTGGCCCTTTATTAGGACAACCTGTGATGTCTGCGAGGCCTCAAGGGACACTGCTCTGTATAAAATCAAGAAGGTAGAACAGCACTTGTTCTGTGTACACTGTTAATATAAATGGATGATGATGATGAAGATGATCATGGCACTGGTAAATATAACATCATACTCATTAGCCATTATAACACTATGTACATCGAAAGGGACAGGACATAGGGGGGCAGATAGGATTTAGCATGTTTGGTTTAATTATATACATTTGTCTGTCTCCACCCTTGGGTAAAGAAATCTAATTTATGTAGTCCCAGGGCCTAAGCCATTGCCTAGAACTTGGAAGCCTATGGGCTCTGTATTAGCCAATATCTGATCATCATTTAACATGAATGGTTAAAAAAAATCAAGTATTCTCTGTGACATAAATCCAGAATTCTATTATATTCAACATATTTAGGCAGGAAATTATCCAAATGTGTTAAAAATTAATGTATTATCTGAAAGAGAAATATCAAAGATAGGACTTCATAAAATTATGAACTCTTAACTTGGGTTTTATGTACAGGATGATCCCAGAACACTTGCAAAATAGAAAACCAAAATGACAGCAACATGATTTTATTTTTAAAAGACATTTACAAAAATTTTATTAAAATATCCCAAATATTCAATTTAAGGCTAGCTAAGCTCATCAAACCTAAAACTTTTTAGCCAATCTTATTTGACCAGGTTTTGCCCTTTGATCTATTCTCTTTCTCTCTAAATTTTCCACCTGATCCACTTAATGATGGCTGATGGGTTATGACTGATGGATTTCACACTGGACAAATGTTTTGTAGATGTGTTTGATGTGTTTGATGAGTAGAAACAATGTGTTTCTGTTCACATTGGACGCATAACTTTTGCAGAAGTCTGAGAGACTAAGATCACTGAATTAAACATCTCCAATCTGCAGGTGAGTCTATTCCCTCCCAATATTTTTGACCTTGAAAACATTTCTGCTGCTGCTATGTGTATAGGTTCCCATCTCCCAACCACACCCCCCTCAAAATTACTGAACTCTTTGGCCCTATAGCTCTGTATTGACAATTTTCCTCCCAGTGCAAGTCTAGCTTGGTGCATCATCTACTGAAGAATATTTTAAAGTCTTCTGCTAGAAGAGTGAATGATCCGTTCATTCAATTTTTATTTATTTAAACAAAATTTATTCAACTCGTACTATATTCTTGATACTTGTTTATATTTCTGTTAAAAACTCATATATAAGCTAACACAAAGCTTTATGTAGCATTTTTTAAAAACAGTGTTCAAAAGAAAGAATCAACTTCCTGCAGTGTGAATTTTAATGGGTGAATAACAAAGACAGAACAAATGAGGAGTGACTTGACAATACTTTCTCAGTCTATGCCATTTGTCATTCTATTTCATTGTTAACTATGGATTTTTTTTTTTTTGAGATGGGGTCTTGCTGTCACCCAGGCTGGGGTGCAGTGGTGTGATCTCGGCTCACTGCAACCTCCACTTCCTGGGTTCAAGTGATCCTCCCACCTCAGCCTCCCAAGCAGCTGGACCTACAGGTGTGCACCACCATGCCTGACTAATGTTTGTATTTTTTGTAGAGATGGGGTCTCACCATATTGCCCAGGCTGGTCTCAAATTCCTAGGCTCAAGTAATCTGCCTGCCTTGGCCTCCCAAAGTGCTGGGATTACAGGTGTGAGCCACCACACCTGGCCAACTACAGAAATTTGATTACTGTGTTTGTTTGTTTATTTATTTATTTATTTAGAGACGGAGTTTTGCTCTTGCTGCCCAGGCTGGAGTAAAATGGCACAATCTTGGCTCACTGCAACCTCCGCCTCCTGGGTTCAAGCGGTTCTGCTGCCTCAGCCTCCTGAGTCACTGGGATTACAGGCGCCTGCCACCACGCCCAGCTAATTTTTGTTATTTTTAGTAAAGACGGGGTTTCACCTTGTTAGCCAGGCTGGTCTCGAACTCCTGACCTCAGGTGATCCGCCCACCTCGGCCTCCTAAAGTGTTGGGATTACAGGCGTGAGCCACCATGCCCGGCCTAGTATGTTTTATTAAACTGTTCTGAAACAATCATTTATATTCATTTTGAAAATAATTTTTAAAAAGATGTCTACAGTGACCGAAACTTTCATGGCTCACATTGGTTATGCTGTTTTACAGAAAAGGCTGTTTTCAGGCTTTTGACCTAGAGTTAGGGCTTAACTCCAAAGTCTGAAAGATGAGCTATTGCCTAAAACAATTATCACACTACTTATGACTTCTGTTTCATAATACTTAGTGTGCTACATATAAATGAAGTCCAAGAGTACAAGGCCCTATCTTGGCTGCTGCTTGCTAAGAAAAGCAATATAAGTCTGCCCTGAGAAACAAAGTAGTTGCCTCCAAATGTATGGAGAACATTCCAGCAGCCCATTTCAAAGTTACCTGGTCACGTGCTAGCCACTTGACATATGTCATTATGCCATTTCTCATTACCACAACTTTCTGAGACTGTTTCTGGAGATGAGGTTAAATAATTCAGGGTCAGAAAGGCAGGATTTGGACTCAGTCTCTGTAAGTTCAAAGACTGCGTTTGCTTTATGATGCTGTGTGGTTTCCCTATACCATCTTGTTTCCCAGGCTAAATGTACATGGGACTATAATTTCAAGTCGTTATTTATCATTGCCTTGAATAACAGCAGCTTTAAAAATATAATTGATAATAATATGAGCCTACTGACAAGCTACTCAGAAAAACATACCATTTCTATAACCTCATGGTCCACGATTTTTGGGTTGTGTTTATTTGTTCCTGCCTCATTTTATCACAGCAATTTTCTGACATTTGCAAGTTTCTTAAAATGTAGTTAATACTAACCATACATCCTCACAACTTGATGACATTGAACAAATAAACATTAAAAATCCCTTTGCATTTGAACGTATGGTAAAAGCAAAGATTTCTATATTTACATATGTAATATAGACAAGTAAAATCAATGACATGGAATACCTATGTAATAAAGTAATTGCTTTAGAAATGTGTGTGATAATTGCATATCAGCTGAATAATTCATTACTAAAATTATTGGTAATGAATGTTCATTTAGTACGATTATCTCATGTGTGGGAATATGCTGATGTACAGTGATTTACAGTAAACTTTAAGGATGAACATTTTATTTTTAGACAACTGCTTGTTCATTAAATATGAAAAAGTGATGACAAAACAGGTTTCAGTGATGCATTCAATTTGCAACGATAGAGTTTCAATCATAAATGGCTTTTGGGTTATATTAACTATAGCCTATAAATCATATATAAATATATGCGTGCATGTGATATCACACAGAGCTGTCCAGCAGAGGGCTCCTTTGAAACAGAACATGAGAAATGAGGCCACTGTTCAAAGTGGAGTCAACATGGTACTTTTAATAAATTATATTGAGGTTTAGCAAAGATTTATTCCAAACCAGCCAATGGTTTTACAAACCATTTTCCTAGAGATTGTAATTTCATGTATTTACAAGTGAATGAGATTTTCATAATACTTGTCCTATGAAAATATAAAGTGATTAAGGCCAGATATTCTTATGAAATGCAAGCAAAACCAACTAATAAGTCCTCACAAGCTGTGTAAATAGATGTGCATTTAATTACACTTACATAGCAACACAAACCAAATGCACAGGAACATTTTACTAAAGGGAAACCAATTTTTTCCCAAAGGAATATATTGTTAAGCAATGACTGTACAAACTCGCTCCTTTTATTAGAAACTACAGTTGACAATGAAAGATTGCTCCCTTCTGCCCAGTGGAGGGGTGGTGAGAGCTCTGTGGAATTTTTTCCTTTATAAATGATTTAGATGTACCTATACAAGAAAAGTACTTTTCTCTTTATATACTGATTCTCATTTCTATTAATGTTTTTAAGAAATAACTATGTATTCTCAAACATAAAATGATATGACACATTATATGCCATATTATATATGAGTAATACTAAAAATGCTATAGTTGATCAGACTAATACCTTTCACATGGACTTCTGAGTGACATCATTTTTGAAAAATGGGAAGGCTAGGCTGTGTAACAATTCAGAAAATCATATTTTTTTAATAGAGTAAGTAATAGGTGGGGTTAGGAGAGGGGACCCACAGAGATTATCATGTTCTTAATTTGGGAGTTCTCAACAGCTTCTAAAATATAAAAAAAGAATCATCAAAATTGACTCTTCATTCAGGTCAACCTTACAGTTCACATTCAATTTTAATAAATGGATACATCATTTCACTTGATGAGAAAAGGTGAACTCTAGATCCCTAAAGAAGATATTGACATTTATAAAACAAAGGCGAGAGATAACAAATATTTAAAATAGCAATCTAAAATCCTTCATAATCACTAAGATGGATTTTGTTCTATGTCATGCAGCCATAAAGTCAACACTCTAGAATCAGGATACATGAATCACATTGTTCTAGAATCGACAGCAATTCCAATATTCAAATAGCATGAAATAAAACAAAGAATGTTTAATGGCCTTTAAGTGAACAAAAGCAATATATAAATTTTTTATGTTTAAGTAATTCTTATAATAAACAACTTATATGAATACATGTAGACCTTTTGCCAAATCAGAGCTACCTCCTGGTATTCAGTGACACTAAAGACCAGGAAAAGTTAATACATGTATTTAACTAGTGAGATGTTAACATGAGAGGCTGGAAAAGCCAGATGTGGTAGAACTTGTATAGTAACAAATCAAAAATCATGTTGATGTGAGTACTTATTATCTCAAACATGGAAAAGTAATCAACCAACACGGTATCATCTCAGAAAATAGCACCACTCTAATGGAACCCAGAAAAACAATCACATTATATAATTTTGCATTTCCCACGTGCATTTTAAATGCCATTATTTTTCCTCTTTTGATCTTTCCTTTGTATTTGTAAAAGGAGCTTTCATCTTCGGATATGTATGTGAGGATATGCACTGGAGTCTGCATGCTTCCATGTTTATGATGCCAACAGCCAGACAGACTTTGGCAAATGACACTGACTGTACCAAGACAGTTGCATCTGACTGCTTAAACCCCTCAGCTTCTCTGGGCAGTTCAGGAGCCCCTGCTGTGATGTTTTGTTTGCACACGTGCACAGATAAAGGCCACCACTCCTCTCATTAAACAAGAAGACATGCGGGAAAATTAATAATTTAATTTGCAGGGAGAAGATAGATGTGGAAATCAAATGTGCATCTACAACCTTCCCTGGGCACTCACGTTAGTGTCTGAGGAGATCTGATGCCAGTTCTGTTGCCTGGCTTATGTCTCTAGAATAATATCAAAGTGTCAGCAAAATCAGTGCTTTCAAACTGCTGGGTGAGGAACAGTTGTCTTGTCACAGTGCAGACACCCCGGGAGTGGGAGTGTAGTTGGGAGAGGGGAGAAGGAAAAATCCTATTAGAACTCGAGCCATAACATGTACTCTGCTAGGCCACCCATGCTCTAAGAATCTGATCAAATCCTAGACGAGGACCACATGATAAATGACCCAAAGACCCAAGGAGAGCCAGTGTGATCGTTAACAAGTCAAAGACAACTATAACCTACCAGTTTATTCTCTACTCCTAGGAAAATATTTTACTCTTTGCTTTCCTAGAGAAAAATGAAGGAAAGAAGAACTGAAGGGAAGGCGGAGGAAAAGAAGAATGGGGGAGGGGAAGGGGAAGAAATAGAGGCAGGAAACTGGGTCTGCTCTTTGTCCTATACCACTGGATTTTGACCCTGGGTTGATCTAAGTGCTTGCAAGAGCAACAACAAGCACCTTTTATTTTACAATCCTCATCAAGCCTCGTTTTCCTGAGGTTTTTAAAATACCAAGCCAGATTACGCTTTGATTTTCTAGACCAACAGCTCCATAAATGACACTAACAACACCCCCTTGTATCTAAATGATGAAGGGGTCACATCCCTATTGAGCTGACCAGATGAGCCATTTATCTGCAGAGAATCCTGAGCTTCACTCTGCCCTCAGACTCTTGATTTAGTCCCCAAGGGCATCTGCAATAGGGAAGAAATTTTAGCTTTGCAATTTTCTACATAGAAACATGGAAAACAGAAACAATTTAGAACAAATTCTTTGAAGCAGTGGAGAGCCAGGCAGCACATATCATCATAACATCCAACTTTCAAAATGTACCTTTTTAGTTCTGTTTCTTAAAGCTCATTCTTTTGAACTTCCTCATTGCTCATCCTCATAGGCAGAGATCCAAATACATCCATAAATATGGTGCTTCTGGGAAACTTCACAACTTACCCTAAAATCAGTATACTGTTCTTCTCATATAAGGATGACATTACTCACTCATGGTCAAAAGGAAGTACCTTGTAAATTGCTTTTTCATTAATGGTGACACCTCAGTACATGCTGTGCTCTGTTTTAATCAACAGCATCAACTGTAAGATAGATGGCTAAGAAGATGATGTTGGGTATGGTTGCAGAATTGAATAAAACTAATTTGCGTGTAGAAAACTAGGTCGTTGGGCTTGGTCTCTACAGTACAAGTCCCTAAACAGTTGATCTAAACTTCCTGAAGATCCAAGAGATAGCATAGGGTTAAACACCACCACCATCCTGGATTTAAGTGACAATATGTGGGTTTTGACTCAACCCGTAACCAGCTACATTCGCCTGGGAAGGACATGAGCTTGCTGGAACCTGGAAACATTATTATGTATTTTACATATGCTGGTTCTTTTGACTAATACCAAAGTGTGACATCTTTTAACATCTACCTATTTATTTTTAATCTTCCCTCTGTGAATACAAAGGTGTCATTTCATCCACTTCTACATGACATCCTTACAAATATACTAGGAACACTCTCTTATCTCCAGTACCTTTTTTTAAATCTCCTTAGCTCAAACATCTGTAGTTTCTCCAACAAACAGCAAAGGATGTAATTTCCAACCTCCTCGCTATTTTGGTTTCTTTTCTCCAAATAGTGTCTAGTTTTATTACTATTCCTTAAAAATAGTGAAAAGGCGATCTATGGATCTAATTCTACTATATTGTAGAGCTAGTATTTCCTAGGTAAGAGCTGAATGATTTTAATTATTTAAAATACGGAAACCAATGATCTAGCCTGGAAAAGAAGATTGCTCATCTTATACAAATCAATGACAATCATAGTACTCAAGGGATTTGAAGAAAGGTCATTTTTCTCATGGAGATAGCATAGTTTATGTTTACAAATGATCTGACGTCCACCCTTAGTTTAAGTCTAAGCTTAGTGCTCAGTGTGAGTCTAAACACCTGTAAACATCCACTTAAAGTGTGAATGGATCATTTTCATAAAGGAACATTTCCTAATCAACCAGATTAAATTAGTTGCTGGAGGAGGTAAGATTTTCATGTTTTCATCTAGAATGAACATTAATGTTCAACATTAGCAACCTTGTAATTTACACTACTTTATTTGAATTTAGAACCAGCAAACATAGGTATGGATTTATATACATCTATAAACAAATCTGTAGGCAGACTTTAAGAACTAATTACAGCTGATAATAACAGCTACCATTTATCAAGTGCTCACTATGTGCACTTGCTAAGTATTTTGTATATATTTTATTCAATTCTAATAATACTATGAAATAGATATAAGTATTCTCATTGTACAGATGAAGGACACCAAAGTTTAGAGAAGTTAAAAAATGTGTCCATGGTCACACAGGTAGCAAGTGGTAGAATGGGAAAATTGAACCCTGGTCTACCTAATTTTAATATCCATGCACTAGATCAGTTCTCTGGTGTCTTACAGCAAAGACCATCTCTCCATGGAATGAAAAACCTCTTTGGAAGGCCTCAGGTATATTCTAAGTTATTATGTATTGAGTTGAGCCTATAGATTCTTCATCTTATATTCAACGAAATTTGTCTGTGACACAAACTACCACTATAACAAAACACCCAAACTGCCTGGCCAAGATTCTAATATCTATGTTTATATAAACATTCATAGCAACTGTATGTATTTTGACTTTTTCTCATTCCCTGGAAATGATGGTCTCCACTACCAACATTACTACCAAGATATATGACCTATTTTATTGACAGACATGAGAATTTATATAAGAATATTGATCTGCAAAGAGTCACTTATTCAGTCAACAAATATTATTGGAGCACCTATATGTGCCAGCCCTTCTTCTGAGTGTTAGGAATACAGCTATGAATAAATCAGCAAAATCCTTGCCCTTGTGTAATTTATATTCCAACAATTTTATTGACATTCAAAGTATTTGGCTCTTCTCTCTTGTAATCACTGTTAGAATCAGATTCAAAGTTCAACAGGAACACAGTCTCATTATGCTCTACTCCCATCGTGAATGTCTAGCTGTGGGCATCTCACTGTTCCTTAGTCCCATTCACGGAGAGGGTGATGCTCCGGCACTAGATACTGGGGAACATAAAAGAAGTCGACGACAGATGTTCCAAAACACAGCACCGTATAAAAGTAATGCCTTTCTGGTTGTGGAATTTACTTTATGATGTTTGTAACAGGAAATCTGTGTGCCTAATTATTTTCAATTAATATGATTACTACTGGTTTGTACTTTTTAAGGACAACCTAGGGAGGAACATGTCAGGTGGCAGAGAGAACAGGCTTGAGGTTCAGTATGGGCCACAGCTGAGATGTACAGTGGCTACTTTGCATGCATATAAGCAGAGAATCGTCTTCTCAAACAAGGACCATCCCATAGCTCTTAGGAGACAGTGTTCATAAAAATAAAATCTTAATATTTTTCAAGTTATCAAGTACATTAAGAAATTGTAACTATCTCTCTGCTAGGATAAGAGCACAAAAAGTCCAGCTGGATAAAAGTCAGTGTTCTATCTTATATTATACATATGGCTTACCAAGATTGTGCACGGCCTACAAAATCATGCCTGTAAAAAGTGTTATCCATCAGTAAAGAAAAACAAAACAGGTCAAAAAGCAGTCAAGGTAAGCCAAATGAAAGCCTCTGGCTTATTTTCCTGCATAAAGTCCTACAATTGAGGGGTAAGGAAAAATTTGCCACAATTCACTGCAAATGTGACACCTTCAAACAAATCTCAAACTTTCCATGATAAAGTGAGAGGAGGACATAATACAAATGAGACTTGTAATTTTCTTAAGAATACAGAAATCATTTGATCCATTCCTTAGAATGGTTCTTACTAAATGTATAAAGAGGAAGACAGAAACGTGACTTTGGGCTCATAGACTAACCCTCCCCTGTACCCCATCTGCACTCTCCCTCCTCTTCAGCACTAACTCCTTGGTTCATCACTTCAATCTCTCCCTTAACAATATCCTAAGTATCCTCGCTCATGATATTCTGTTACACTCTTCTTGGCAAAGCCTCAACCCTAAAGTAATCAAACTATCTTCAGCTACAAGCCTGTGTCCTCTGTTGCATGTGACATAGCCAGGCAGCTCAGTCCACTCCGAACTCAGGTTTACCAACGCAGGGAGGTCCATGATCTCATCTACATTCAGAGGTTTCCAGGTTAGCAAGCTCCCTGCTTCTCTGAAGAGATTTAAACCTTCTCCACAATCTTAGCTCTTACCTCCACCACACCTCCCTCCCTGCCAGGAGGCTTCATCTGAGCCCAATGCAAGAGAAGTTACAATCTTGCTCCTAGCAGCCTATCTGCTTCTGCATCCACATTTTTCTTCATGCTTTCTTCTTAACATGGAGGTGGAATCTGAGTTCATGAATCTCTTGCACTCTCATCTCCTTTCTCAGTTCATCCCTGTCTTATCTTCATTCTGTCCCTTTACTGGCTGATTACTTGATGTTGAAATACAGTCAGTGGTGGCAAACACTCTTCTGTGTCTGCAACAGGCATAAGAAAGCAGTAAGCTCAGTGAATATAAGTCCTCTCTCTAGCACCAGAAGATGACCTGATGAGTCTAAACCAATGGTTCTCAAGTTTGAACAATGTATCACTTGCCTAGAAAGCTTGTTTGAAACACACTGCTAGGTCCCACCCAAGTTTCTGATTCAGTATGACTGAGATGAAGCCTAGGAATCTGCATTTCTAACAAGTTCCCGTGAGGTGCTGATGCTGCAGGTTCATTACCCCTGATGTAAACCATGTTTGATAACTGCATTCTCCTTTGTTAATTGTTCATTTAGAAATGGGCAAATAACTCAGTGTGTACAAGACGATACAAAAACAAGTCTGAAAGAGTAGGAATGAGGAAAATCTGGGGACACATTTTGTTCCCGTATAAAAGGACAGAGCACAAAAATCACATTCCTTGTTTTTGCTTTAAATGAAGTCATGTGGAACTGAAGAAGCTTGCTAGTGTCTATTACATGTCAAGCACATGAACACAAAGCCAACATGCTAAAAAAAAAAAAAAAGGTGGAGTGGAAACAGGGAGAATCTGGCTTGAGTATATTTTTGAGGCCCTGCAGCAACCTTGAATCCACTCATCTCAAGTATTATTATATGAGATAAATAATAAAGGTATTTAATAAAGCCACCACTAGTTAGGTATTCCATTACTTGCAATCACATAAAAGTAACTAACTCATCAACTCCTGGCCATCTAAAAACATCCCTTTTCAACTCCATATCTTCCTCTAGGTAGAGCTCTATTTCACTCATTCATTTAAATACAAACTCTTCAAATGATAAGTGCCCTCCATCTCCTTATCTCCTATTGGCGCATCAATCCATTTCAATATGCCTTGCATACTTTTCATTCCACCAAAAATGTTTTCACCATGGTCTCACCATAATCCTCTTGATTATAATAGATGTTTTCATGCCTGGTCCTACTTGATTTTCCACAGTGTTTGATGCTGTTTATTGTCTGTTTTTCCCGAAACACTCTTTTTCTCTTGGCTTCCATGGCACTGGCATTATCCTCCCTTGGTTTTCCTTCTACATCTCTATCACTGCTAATTCTTTCCCACAATCTTTAAGTAGTAGCATTATCCATAAATCAGACCTGTTCTGTTTTTACACATAGTCCTTCAACCTTACCCAGACTCTGAGTTGCTTCAATTCCATCTGTTTACAGATGGTGCCCATACCTGTATCTGTTCACTAATCCCCCTGTGGGCTCCAGGCCTCTATGTCCAAATGATTTCTCATCCACTTGATGTCTCCAGACACTTCAAACTCAATATGATCCAATGGAGCTCACTATTCCCACCCCCTTCTAACACTTCCCCCTCCTCCCATATTCCCTAACTTATGGATTGGCATCACCTTCCCTTTGCTGTCCAAGGGAGAATGTGGGCATCGTCTATCACTCCTTCTTATCCTTTATACCTTGTTTCCAATCAGTCATAAATTATATTTCTAAATATTTCCTAAGTTCATTCCTTCTCCTCATTCTTTCACCATTCCCAGGCTCATGGGGATCATCATGCATTGCCTAGATAATGGTAGCCTCCACCCCCAGTGCCCTGACCTCCAGGCTTGCCCCCATCTAATTCCTTCTCTGACTATAGTTAAAGTAGTTGCGTTTGATCATACAACCTCTGCCTGAAACCCTTCATGGGCATCTTGGTCTGCAGTCTGAACCCAGCCATCAAGGTTCTCCAGGTGTCCTCACTAAGCCTCTCATCTTGGCACTTCTGTTCTCTCAGCTTTAGCCACTTTAGCCTTCTTTTAAGTCTAAGCCACTGGGCCCCCGCACATGCTATTTTCTTTGCCTAATATGCTCTAGCCTTCTTGGGCTCCTAGTCAACTCCAACTTATCTCTTGGATTTCAGCTTGAGTATCACTTTCTCAAGGAAATCATACCTTTCAAACCAGGCCAAGTCAATTCATGCTCATGTGGCACCATTTGCCTCTCCTTGAGGGCATTTGTTATAGCTGCAATTTTGTTTTCATGTGTGATTGTTTAATGAGTGTTTTGTCACCTTCATGCAACCTATATTTGTTTTTGTTCACCAGAGTTGAGCACTTTGCTGGACACATGATAGATATTCAATCAATATCTATTAAATATTCAATTTTTGAAGAAGGAAAAAATGGAGGGAATGAAGGAGGTAGGTAGACAGGTTGGTTTCTTTTCACTCTCTCCCTCTCACTACATCATAACTTTCTAGAATCTGTCATTCTCTTTGACTTGCTTTTGATCTAAGTTAATGTACTTTGCTATAAACTTCCATAGTACCCTTCTCTGAACACTTACAACACCTACAGTTATTTATTTAAAGTCTGCTTTTTCTCCTTGACTAAAATATACATGAAGAACTTTACTTCTTCTTGTTCCCAATGAATCTCTCACTGCCTGGCATATAATAAGTGTTCAAAATATGTTTCTTGAACTAAAGTACGTTTGTCTCCTTTTTAATATTTCTCTTAAAACATGATATATATACATACATGTTTTGTACCAGCAATAACAAATAAAATGGATATTAACATGTATATTACCTACTCTGACATGTATCAAGATGGGATCAGAATAAAAGCATGCATTTCCTGTCACAGATTCTGCTTTCGGTGACTTTTAGCAAGGTATATTTGGGTAAAATTGTTGTATTGAAAGACAATGTCAAATGCAACCAACTACATCTCACATGTCCCTGTAGTGAATGTACTGAGAGTACATAAATTAAACAAAATTAAATAATTTGAATCCCATAAAAAAGCAAAAAGTCTACTGTCAGCAGGGAGAATCAATTTAAAAAGCCTTGACCATCAATACTATTTATGTCCTTCTTCATCTCTGGCTACATAGGTGTGAAATTGTAGTTCTAGACTTGTTCAGACAACCCAACTTGTCCTCAAAACTGCTAGCGGAGAATTCCGACCTGCCTTCAAAATGTCCAGCGGATTCTGCTCCTCATACTTAAACACAGGAGGCAGGTAATGTTATAACTACATGTAGTTGTTTTAGAAAAGCACTAGGTATGTTTTTATCAAGTATGTTTATTGCTGGGTGGTCCCTCCACCCACTCTGTCTTCCACACTGAATAAACTAAGTGACCTGATCATTATGGGGCTCTTAATCAGAGGAAGAAGACAAATTCATTCAACTGAATTTTAAAATTCCACTATTCCATTTCTCTCCATACATCTGAGACGGCATGTCTCTAAGCTAATATGTGCTCCTTTGCATCAATCTTTGTGACTTAAGTATTAACCAAACTAACACTTTCAAAGAGAGTTCAACATATCTATAATTGCTTAGATAACAGTAGAAACATATGGAAAATTATGTTCTTAAGAAGTTAATTCATTCAACAGATATATTTTGAGTGTCTACTCTTACAGGTAATCTTCTAGGTCCTAGGGATAGATGAGAATAAAAGGGACTCTGCCCTCATGAAGCTTTCATTTTAGTAGGAGAAGGTACATATATATGCTTTTAAATATGTACATACACACATATTTCTAGTATATCTGACATTTTCCATATCCTTCTTAGAATCACCATAGGGACAGAAGGTATAATTGGTAAGGAAGAAATATAATTTCCCTTTATACCTGTATCCCTTTTACTTTTACCTATTTCTCTGTCTCTTCATTCTTTTTTCTTGCTTATAGTCTTTCTCAGACCTTCTTGTTAAATTTCAGGAGTAAATCTATCTTTTATTTAATGGAGACAAAACACTGCCATCTTTACCTATCCCCTACAACATACTTTTGAACTGGGCTCATCTTAGTTGGCAAACCTCATATACACTATTTGATATTTCCCCATCAACTCTCAGATGAGAATCTCAAAATGTTATCATATAACACTTACTAAGAACTGACAATGTGTGAAATGTCATACAGAGCCGAGAATTAGTCTTGGCCGCTGCTCAGTGGGTTCACTAATGCAAACTTTAATTCACTAAGGACACCAAATACAGCCTGAAAGAGCTATTAGGACAACTATCAGAAAGTTCAATTTGCTGTCTCAAGGTCCCAACAGTGGCATTAGTGCCAAGAATGAAAAGCCAACTACAAAACCCATCCCTATTTTATGTTACCTATAGAAAAAAACTCAAAAATTAAAAACTACTCCAGTTAAAGAAGTGGTTTCATTTACTTCCTATCCATAGTGTCCACTTTCAATCTTTCAATCTAATCATCTTTCTTCTTAATACCAAATAACTCTCTGGTTGTTTAAATAATGTACTGGTCTTTTCAAGATATAACAGAGTCCTCTCTAAATTTATTCATTAACAGTATCATTGACTATAAAAAGTAAGTTCAATACAACTTGTCTACCCAATGTTTAAGATTTTAAAGTATCTAGCAGATCACCTTGAATATTGCCTAAACCTTCATACAGAGAATAATTTACTACCCTTTAAATTTCTAGCAACAAAAAGACAAAACATATCTGAATTTCTGAATTTCACATGATATCACTCTCAACCTGACATACAAAAAAAAAAGCTTCTATATGGGAAATGCTTCTATGATTAGAACTTAATTGTGTTTTTAAAGGCAGCTTTCATTTACAAGGTCACTTAAGGTCATTAGAAATCCAGATATACAGAACAATTGCCTTTCCTTTCTGCTTTCTCCCCCATCTCACCCCAGCAAAAATTTAGGAACCAAATTATTTTTTTCACTAGG
Source organism: Homo sapiens (assembly GCF_000001405.40). NCBI lineage: Eukaryota > Metazoa > Chordata > Mammalia > Primates > Hominidae > Homo > Homo sapiens. The sequence goes on along the minus strand of NC_000014.9, from coordinate 33,421,363 downwards.
CAAAATTCCTTTGTTGAAAAATAGCTCTTAAGGATATTCTATGAATGTGATGGGCTGTAGTGAGAGGTTCAAAGACACACCTTTATTGGGATGGTCCTATACTGGGATCATAACTTTTTTTTTCTAAGAAAAGACAACAATGATAAGTCACAGTACGGACAACTTCAAAAAACAAGGGTTCTGAAAAATTCAAGGTACATCTTGATTATATACACATACAAATCCAGCGTCTCCTTGAGGCTTCAGGTATAGTTAAAAGAACCAAATGTAAAAGAGGAAAAAATGATTTGCCAATTTACTGCTTAGAACTCAATTTTAACAACAAAGTAATATAGCATGAAAACCTGGTTATTCGACAGCACTTGGCTACACAGAGGACGGCTCAATGAGCTCCTCTTGCCTGGCTTGTCACAATGACTGACACTTTCTAATATTGAGCTGGAAATAATATGGATATTTAATACTGCAGCATTTACATCAAATAGAAGCAAAGCGCTATTGTTTATCAGCAATCTACTTCTGATGGCATGAATCTATATAGACATAATTATTGTTGAATGATGGGCTCTGATTTTCACATTATGGCATAAACAAATCTGTAGAATATTCACAATGTTTCATCTTGTGTGATTTGAAAAACCTCATAAAGCCAAATTCTTAAGTATTTCCTATGCTTTCCACTTGAATTTTGACTAAAATTTACCTTTTAGATCTGTTATGCCACTCATGAATTTTTTACAGTATCCATCTGTGCTTTGCAATCTCTATTCTCCATGGTTCCACATTGTTTTGGCTAACTAACAGGCCCATATGTTGCCTTAATGTATTTCTGCACAATGTTTGTGCTTTAAAAAAAAAACACAGGGAAAAACCACAGGTCTAAATAAGCTATAAAGAGCATCCACATACAGTTAGACTGTCTTTACTGAGTCTGGAGACATTATGATTCTGCTGCGACAAGCAGCATTTGTCTTCATTTTGTCTGACTGTCCTCATGTGTTATTATTAGTGGCTGTCAGGCTGAGGCAGAAAAAAATAGCATCACTTGAGTAAGAAGTTGAATGCATAAATGCAATACTACACATGGTGGCTGAGGGTGAAGAGTCTGTTTGAAATGCCTAAATGCAAACACCAGGATGAGGAAATTTAAAAGTGAAAATCCTTACTTGGCAAATGTGAGGAGAAAAAAATATGACATCCTTGTCTATAAAGCAAAGTGAAGGCTAATTATTGACAAAAATTTAGCAGCCTCTGAATATCTTTGAAGACCATCTTTTCAACATGTCAGCTTAACTTTAATTGTAAGAAAACAAATATGTTGAAACATTTGCCTCCAGTCCGGTGTTTCAGATAATGTTGACAAATACCTTGCATTTTAAAGTTAAGCTTTCACTGTTCAAAAAAAGTAACTTGGAAGTATATTTTCCACACAAACACTTTCAAGCACTTAGTATATTCTGTCACTCTGAACGGGCTCCACTTGGGTATCAATTGCTCCCGCAATCTCACTTTACCTACTTGTCTCAAGAGTTCTTTCCCACACAGCCTCTCATTATTTCAGCAGTGAGTTTATTTCACTTTATTTTTCCATCATCAATATAAGACAAACCAGATTATCGTAAGACCCAGAAATTGTTATACTTAGCTCCTTATCAGATAGAAACACTAATTATCCAGAAAGTAGGTTTCCTTCTAAAAATAAATTTATCTTTATCTTCTTATTTTCCTATCTGAAAAGATTATCTTCTCTAGTCTCATTCATGGTCACTAAACAAGGATGTTTCACCAAAAGCTTTAAAAAATGCTTTTAAACAAACAATTCTTACAAATACAAGTAAATAAGCATTTACTTTTCTCATCAGCAGCATCTCATGAAGAACTACATAAAGATATTTTCAAGAAGTCGGCCTCCTGTGGCTTTCTTTACCTATCACCCACAACAATCACAGTTTTTATGGTTTTACAATGTCAAAGCATGCCTCTATATAAAATATACATAATTTATAGGTATACAATGAAAAAAATGCGTTGATGTTATACTAATATATTGCAACTAAATAACATCTTTATTATTCTTTCTTATCTTTGTCTCTTCTCTAATGTTAGCTATTACTCTTTCTCCTTAACTACTCTTTCTCCTTAACCATATTATCCTTAGTCTACCTTCAGCCTAGATGCTGTTCCTTGATGAACCAGTCATACTAACTTCTTCTTAAAGCCTTTTTTAAAAAAACTATTTATCATTATCAGATGTTAGAGCTTCATCTCAATTTCCTATAATGCACAATGTAGTGCCTTACAGTATCAGTTTAAGCTGGTGCTTAATATAGCACTACATATTAATTTTGTGTGTATCTGATTTGTCTTCCCAACTAGACTGTAAGTACCTTGTGGGTGGAGAGATTTTTATCTCATTCTTTATAATCCATAGCACCTGGCCCATGGTAGACAGTAGTAAAATAACTGTTAACAGATGCACAAAGGGGAGTTTATGCTAAAATAACTGATTTGCATATAGTAGGACAAGCCTCTGGTAACATATTAAGAAACAGAACCAAGAGCAGGGCTGTCTAAAGTGATAAATGGAGCCCTGCATGGAAGATCAATGATTGCGGAAATATTCAAATGCAAGTGTTTCAACTCCAAAAGGAATTTCCCTAAGCATTTCTCTCCCATCTACAACCCTTTAAAAATAAAAATAAAAAATGGAGGATATTCTAAATAGAAAAATAAAATTGCTAGTATATTAACATATCCTCTTAAAACTCATCAACAGAGAAATACAAATATTTTTATAGAAAAGAATGTAAGAGAGGGGAAGCAAAGAGTCCAAGAAAATGTTTGTAAAAAGTATTTGACTGCTTTGACTGTCCCTGAAAAAATAAACAGCAGTTTATTTTCAGTGCCTTAGGAGATATCTCTGTGAAAATTTTCTGGCTTGGTTGTTAATACACTGCCTGCTACCAGCAGCATACAAGCCTGGGAGGCTTCCCTACTATCTATTATCATTCTTCATGGCAAACTCGGGTTTCTTTCCAAAGCAGGTATCCGGGTGAAAAGCTGTTCAGCCTTTGGCCCCTCTTCTCTTGCTTGCTTATAAAGTCACTGTTTATTAGCCCTTTCCCTGGGAGATTCAGGGCAAATGGGGGATGCACACCAATTACTTTACTGGTTAGGTAGGGCCCTATCAACAAAGTTAGGTAGGGGCATGCTCTTGGAGGACATACACTTTAAAGTTGTAGGTAAGTATCAGCTTCCTTGGTTCATCTTAAACTAATTTTTGCAATTAGAATTAGATTTCTGAAAAAAAAAAATCCTGCATTGCTTTTGTTCATTATCTTTTAATATTTATCTATGTCCTTACAAACTTTTAGCACTAAAACAATGAGCGTGTGTGCAATTCCAGGGGAACCAAAATCATCTGCAAAAAGAAAACTATTCTGTGGAAAACAAATAGAAGTCCTCTGTCAATACAAGTTTTTAAATAGTTCTGAATTTTAGCAAAAATAAGTTGTTACCAGATATAAGAATAGAGTTATTTCTTAGTGCTTCTTTCTCTTTCTGCTCCTTTTTATTTCAGTGAGATCTCCTCATGTTTTTTTTTCAGAAAGGCATTCACATTGCCCAGGTTGCTTTATAACTTACAAAAGTTATCCTGAATAAGGCAGATGCTATTTTAGATGACAATAGTATCAATGACCTGGTGGGACTTTAGAGCAGAGAGGTAATGTCTAATATGGCAACAAAGTTCAAAGCAAGAGATTTGGTGCATTTATTCCTCAAAATAATTGAAAAGATTCAATATGAATCCAAACATATCTTTCTTCTAACACTTCAATAGGACATTTTGTTTTGGGCCTGCTAGTCATTTTTCCCACTTAGAACGTAATCACAGAGTTGGAATGGCAAATTCACAATAACGACACCCTGTGTCATGCAATACCAACATCAAATTCTGAGGGAACAGATAAGGGTCCATGTCGGATCAGGCTGTTATAACATTGCAGTTATATTTTAGAGGACATGATTTAGCCCACACTACATTTTTATGAATAAGGTGACAATTCTTGTTACAAAAGAGTTTTTAATGGCTATTGATTCAAAACTACTATTTCATAAATAAGTGATTTTTGAGGATTTTCCAGGAATTTGCATTTAATATTTCTAGCTATCAGAGGCAATGTTCCATAGTTGCAGATGAGATAAAAGATTCATATTCTAATTTTTTAAATAAAATACATATCTATCAATTAGGCTGCAAAGAATTCTTAATTATATCATCTTGCATATACTTTCCTGAAAGTATCAAGTACCAACTTTTAGCACCGTTTCCCTAATAAGAATCATATAAATATAAAAGCTAAAGCTATTCAAAAAAGCAAAGAGCAAAGCCACAGAATCTCATCTTATGAGCAGTTAAAATTGTTTTTTTCTCCCCAGAAATCCTGTTTCTGTAATTGGAAACTGTATTAAAACAACCAAAAATAAATGAAGTAGAAGGGAAAAAAATTAATGCTCAGAAGAAATATGCAAGTAGACACAAATATCAATGTCCATAAGTAGAAAGCATAAGTTGTAGAAATAAACAATCGGTTTCATTTTTTTCATCTTTTCTCATTCCTATAAAATGAGAAACTTAATTCTTGTGATGGAGTAAGAATAGAATGTCTATCTCAGAATTACTGTCATTTGCTAAGCAAGAAATAAAAGTTTTAAAATATTTTCCCTTGAATTTTTGAAGAAGATAAGCCAATAGAACAAAATCTATTCAATACTGCTGGAAAAATATAGCATCAGAAATGGGTAGTTTTAATTCTATGTTTTAATGTCTATGTTTTAATTATTCAAAGACTGTATTTTATTACAAAAATAATTCAGGCTTTCCTATGTTATTTGTGTTGAAGATATTTAAGACAGAAAAAAAAAGAAACCCCTTACCAGAAACACGTTATGGAAGTAGTGTTATCGTTTAGGATTTTAATAAAATGCTAGAGCCAGATAAAATCTCAGTATATCTTCTAGTCTAGTGCCCCGCCTCTGTCCAAGATAAATTATTTTTTTTCCCTTTAGAGATCTCCAGGGAATAGAGTTCTTGTTGTTCTTCAATACCTTGTTCTCACCTTCAATCAGTTTTATTATCAGGGAATTTATCCTTTATGTTCAACGTAAATTGTGCATGCTAAAGCCTAAGCCATCTTCTGTAGCTTTCCACTTGTGAAGATGGAGTTGGTTTGTAAGTACCTATTGTATGCTTGATGTGTACAAAGCTTGATTTAAAAATACAAAAATAAGAGGAGGTTTTCCTGCAGAGGTACTCCCATGTAGCAGGGAACAAAGACATCCTCAGAGCTTTATAGAATTTGAAAGCTTAAATTAAGTTGGATATTATACAATCCAAAACAGCAATTAAATATAATACTTCAATCCACTCAAATCTTAACTATAGGTAACAACAAGTGGTGAAGGAAACCAAATAAAAAAATTGGAAGGAGATAATATTAATCGAGGGAACTGTTCTAAAACTAAGTTTGGAACAGTATCTAATAGGATGTAAAGGGTATACACTGTCAAGAAGGATAGAAATGAATTGCCTGAATAGAAACAGGCAGAGTCAAAAACACAGAACTGGCAGACTGAGAAATTTTTACATGTAGGACCATGAATGTCTTGGACGGAAAATATGAAGAGCTGTGCTATGGAGAAACCACAGTAAAGACAAGAGGCATTTTATACACTGATTACATACTCAATGGGATGCTGTAGTCTGTGTCTTCAAGTATGCTATGGTACATTTGTGGGTGCATGTGATTTACATATAGGGCAATTTACATACCAACTACTGGGAGAAGATTGAAGCAAGTGTTTAATATAAAATAGGATTAACAACATCAGAAAAATCTCCTTGAAGGAAAAATGGACTTTGAGGTGGACTTTGAAGAAAGTATAAGATATGGATAGAAGGACAGACTGGGGAGGACATAAAATAAATAAAAGGTTTACTCAAAATGGCAAGGATACAGTTAAGTTAGGCTGAAAGGCTAGAAAATACCCAATCCAGGAATAACAGAAAGAGAAAAAAGTTTTTATTCTTGTTATAATACTTGATAAGGATGGAATCTCTTCATGAGGTTAACAGAATGAGAAAGCTTCCATTTATAGGATAAATAAAAATTGCAGATAAACTCTTTCCAGTGCAGCATATAGAGGGAAGCTGGGATCCTTTATAATTCTGGGGCTCTGCATGGAGGTTGCTCACCTTCAGTTAAAACAACATAAGGGCAGAAGTATAGTCTTATGCATATTGGTTGAAAAATATAGATTTTGTGATGAAATGTGGGTGTTTTGCACATCTCAAGAAAACCTAGGGCACTGGATTCCTACTTTCAGCATGTCTTAATGATTGGAGATTGGGAGAGGGGAGCAGGGAATTCTACCATTCAAATGTCTTATCTATTGTTACTCTAGAATTCCACAACTTTCATACCCTAAATGCAATTCTGCACTACCTTCATTGTTTAAAGGTTTACTGATTTTGACCAGTAATTCTCAAGGAGTGGACGGTGACAGAATCAAACCACCCTACCCACCACTAGGCGATCTAACCCCAGTGCCTTCAAGTTGTCCTCCCTTGATGCTAAGTGGCCCTAACTGAGAAGGTAGTATTATATTTATAGTATTTGCTTTGTGGTAACACTTGTCAGAAATCAATAATTAAATTCTCCCCAAAAATTTAAACTAAGGCTCTATAACAGATTACAGGCTTGGAAAGGATTGTGGATGAAAGCCTTTGTTGTTTCTTAAATTTGAAGTAAAACTTATCAGTAATGGGCAAAAGATAGGAGTAATGAGCAGAAATGCTTGGTATAGGAATTAAAGAATATTTTCAATTAAAGGTTGAATTTTATCTTTTTTTCTTTGAACCGCTCATGATATAATGGAGAAACCTGCTAATTGATGTTTCTTCATTATATCTCACAGAGACGCCCAATGACTTAATCTTAATACTAAAATAAGAAAAAGAAAAAAATAAGACACTGACAAAGATTTCTACTTTTTTTCCCCACCAACTGAACTCTTGTTTCCTCTTATATTTTGCTGACTCACAGTGGGGGGAGGAGGGAAAGCGAATGTTTGCTACTGGGTTGAAGTGAATTGTGGCAGGTACTTTTTGCTCTCATGCCTCCGTTCCTTCCTATCTAGCTGCAATCATTTAAGCTTGCTCTGATTTGCTTTACCTGAAAGCAGAAGTAAAATGCATGGAAATATTGCAATATGCACATAACCTGAGTCTCTAACTAAGGATATACTCTATTTTACTTGATTCTGAGAAAAATAAAGAGGAAGGAAAGAGAAAGAACCATCAAAAGAGGAAGGCTCATTTTCATTTATGATCTAATATGAAAAGAATGAATCAAGAATTACAGGTGTATTTTAACAGCAACAATGGGAAAGAGGTTGGAATGTGATGGAATTTATTCTAGAGCTCCATCCAGAAAGAAGGAAATTTTTCTTTAAAATCCTAAAGATCCCAGATTTGATTAGGTCAATCAAGTAGCTGAGGGTAGAATTTAGATGAGGCAGAAACGATACTTTGCATTCTTACAGTCTGAAGTCTTTTCAGAGGCACACACAAAAATGGTAATATTTTAAAATTATCTTTATCCAAATAAGCTATCCCTGACCGTGGAAAATTTGTTCTTGTAGCTTCCAGTCCTTAGACAAGAACTTCAGCCACACTGCCTGCTCACACTAGCAATCCTCACGCTGCCAGTGCTGATGCATTTTACTGCAGTTACTTCCATATCCTCAGCTTCCGATGCCCCACACGCTCAAAGATAAGCAGCTAAAGGGCTCACTCTGGGCCTTTATATTCAAAGGCAGGAAAATCAATATCTATCTCCAAAAGATAGATCTGAGGATGCTGCAGTTCCTAAATACTCCCAGAGATTCTGAAGCAAAGCAGTCTTGATAGGAGAGTCACAGCACAGACACAAGTGGGGCCGTGCCCTCATGCAGCTTCCAGGGACCTGGGGCTCAGAAAACAATAAAAAAGTGCTATCGGTAGCAAATGAAATTAAAAAAGAAAAGCTTTGAATTTTCCCAGAAAAAAAAAAAGAGGAACAAAAATACATATCTGAGTACAACAGTAAGAAAAGTGTTGTCCTCACATATGAGAGAGGGAAAAAAAGCACTAAAAATACTCCAGCAAGGAATTGTTGTTGTGATTTAGGCTAGAGATAAATTGACCAAGGGATATTATTGAAAGAAATCTAACAATGATCTTATTAAATTGGCAAGCTTTCATACTGGTATTTCCTGTTGTACGAACTGCCTTTGCTTTCAAGCCCTTATATTTTTAAAAAAGTAATTTCTTCTCAATTTTGTAACTAAAACAATATTTTAATAATTACACAGCACTAAACTGAAGATTCCTTGAACCCAAGATTGTGTCCATCTCTGTATTCCTAGTTCCTAGCACAGATTCGGGCATATAGTAGGTTTTAAATAAACATTTATTGAATGAGCACTGGCAGTGTTATGGTTTACAACTTACTCCCAAAGACATTATCTGATTTAATGCTCATGACTGTATGATATAGTTTTACATCCCCACTCTACAGGTAAGAAAATGTCAAACAGATTAGGTGGCTTGCCTAAAACCATGTAACCAGTGAGGAGTAGAGCTGTCACCTGAACCTAGATATTCTGACTCTTTCAAGTATATGGTTTCCTTAGACACTAAGCCTTAGTCACAGGCAATTCAAACTGGTAAATCACCTTGGAATAAATTTGGCAATATATATCACTAGCAATAAAAATATGACAACCATTTGGATCATTCCTTGGAATTGGGTCAAAGGGAATATTGCAGATGAAGAAGGGAAAAGCTACAGAGCAAAGATATTCAACAAGATATTAGTTATTTTGTCAAAAAATAAAATCCGGCCAGGTGTAGTGGCTCACATCTGTAATCCCAACACTTTGGGAAGCTGAGGTGGGCAGGTAACTTGAGCTCCAGAGTTTGAGACCAGCCTGGGCAACATGGTGAAACCCCGTCTCTACAAAAAATACAAAAATTTAGCCGGGAGTGGTGGTTCACACCTGTAGTCCCAGCTACTCGGGAGGCTGATGTAGAAGAATTGCTTGAGCCTGGGAGGTGGAGGTTGCAATAAGCTGAGATCATGTCACTGCATTCCAGCCTGGGGGACAGAGTGAGACCCTGTCTATAAATAAATAAATAATAAAAAGCATATTTCAATGTTAGGTAAAAAACATAAATTCTAAATTGTGTTTCTGCTATGATTAAAAACATGCAAAGCTATGCAGACACATAGTCAAAGTGTTAGGGTGCCATATAGTATAGCTTTTACATTGTACATTGAGTTATACAATATCTAAAATGGGAAATAAGGCACAGACATAACCACTCTGGTGGCCTGCCATGAAAGTACCAGACAAGGCTAAACACTGTCAGAGGAGCGAGCATTCACTGTCAAATAAAATGATCATTGGAGTAGATGACATCTAAACTGAGCTGAGCTTGAAAGAATGGTTAGAATTAGCAGATTGAAACTAAGCACTTGTAGATGGCTGGGAAGACATTTCAAGCAAAAATGGCAGGAACAAAGTCAAAGAAGAGGAGAAAAGCAAGGCATGTTCGAAATTGTCAGGTCACCATGTTAAAGAGCTGGTCTGAGATTTAGACAAATTGTATTGGTAGAGCTATAGAGTTTCTTCACCTCAGCACTGTTGACATTTTAAACTGGAAAATGTGTTGTGAGGGCTGTCCTGTGCACTGGAGGATATTTAACAGTAACCCTGGCTTCTATCCCCTAGATTCCAGTAGCAACCCGAAGTTGTGACAAACAAAAATGCCTCCAGGCCGGGTGCAGTGGCTCAAACCTGTAATCCCAGCACCTTGGGAAACCGAGGCAGGTGGATCACCTGAGGTCAGGAGTTCAAGACCAGCCTGGCCAACATGGCGAAACCCTGTCTCTACTAAAAATACAAAAATTAGCTGGGCATAGTGGCAGATGCCTGTAATCCCAGCCACTTGGGAGGCTGCGGCAGGAGAATCGCTTGAACCCAGGAGGTTGCAGTGAGCCGAGATTGTGCCACTATACTCCAGCCTGGGTGACAAAGTGAGACTCCGTCTCAAAAACAACAAAACAACGAAAAAACAAAAAGCCTCCAGACATTGCCAAATGTCTCCTGGAGGTCACAGTCCCTGTTTGAGAAACAATGAGCCAGAATCTAGATGGAAACTTGATTTTAGCCAAGATGCATGCTACAGTTGACAGGGCATTGTAACCCAGAGACTGAGTAGGACTGATAAGTCTGGGTTCAAGAGGCTATATCATTGAAAGCCACAAGGACTCAAACACTGAGCAGAGTTAGAATAAAAATACCAACTATTCAGCTGGATGCGGTGGCTCACTCCTGTAATCCCAGCACTTTGGGAGGCCAAGGTGGGTGGATCACCTGAGGTCAGGAGTTTGAGACCAGCCTGGCCAGCATGGTGAAATCCTGTCTCTACTAAAAATACAAAAATTAGCCGGGTGTGGTGGCGCATGCCTGTAGTCCCAGCTACTCAGGGGACTGAGGCAGGAGAATTGCTTGAACCTGGGAGGCCACGGTTGCAGTGAGTCAAGATTGTGCCATTGCACTCCAGCCTGGGTGACAGAGTGAGCATCCATCTCAAGGAAAACAAAAAGTACCAACTATTCTTGAGCCAAAATGTAGCTTGGGACACATTTTTGTGATGATCTGACAGAAGGAGCCTTGAATATCTGCAAAAGAAATCTGGAATGCAATGAGAAGTAATGAATTTTCTGTTTTATAAGCCAGGGAATTGATTGAAATAACAACAGCATTCTAGTTATTAATCCAAAGGCAGTGTAGAGGATGAATTGAATCAACTAGCACTTAAAGGTAAGAAGATAGGGGACAATTTAGGAGTAGGCAGCAATCTTCTGAGTGTGAAGGAAAAAGAGCCTGAAATACTCTGACAGATATGGAAAGAACAGATGAACAGTGTCAAAATTGAAGAGCAGCCTCAAAAGTTTAAATAAGCTAAATGTATTGCATTCCATCTAAGCCTCCAGAAACTTTATCACTGCAATGTAACTGTAGGCAGAAAAACTATATGAGTTCAGTCACATCTGGTAAATTTTAACCACAGAAAGACTCTTTCAAGAGATTCTATTTATTATTTTTAATTCCTTGGACCTACGCAGCTTCATGACACTGGACCAGCAAAGGATTAATGAAATAAGTTTACAAATATTTAAAAATCTATTTATGCAGTGATTTAAAAAAATCAACTCAACATGAGACTTGCCAATGTTAGAGCTACAAAGAGGGCAGAAGAGTATTTCAATCATCCACAGCTTGATACATTATTCTATTTAATTAACATACCAACTCCTTACAAAATACTTAATATCTCCAATGTTTTAGCAATGTCTCCAACCAGATTATTTTAGATGTCTCCTGTCATTTTCTGCTATGCTGGGTTTTTTAGCATAATTCAATTATGGTAGGAAACAATGAAATTCCATATTCTCGTAGTCACTAGAAGACTACATTCTTACTCTTCTCTGTAGTAATATGCCTACTCTTTTGTGTAGTATTCAATTGAAGAAAGCATAAAGGCCCAGGGCCAGACTCTTCTGGAATCATAGCTAATGAATGAATCTTACTGAACTTTCTGCACTTTCTTTCTACTCTCAAATTAAGCTAGTAAATTGAATAAATCCCACTTTTCCACATTTTAAAAGAGGGCAGGGAAATACTTAATTATACTATGAATTTTTTTCTATTAAGCTAGTGCTTCCCAAAAAATGAGTTTATAGAGATAGGCAATTTGTCATCTTTTAAAATGATAAAATATAGTAATGACAATTAAAATTCTAAGTTAGGATGAAACAAATCCTATAATCTCTTCATCCTAAAACACATATATTTATTTTAACATAAATTATAAGCAGATTTTTGTTAAGGGATATTTTTTCCAGTATAAAGGCCACCAAAGTGGGAAAGGAATTATTCTTTTGTGATAAATCCCCATTATAGGCACTAAGATTTTCTATTTATATTTCTGCACCTCTAATCAGTTACTATCCTTCTGTACCATCTCAGAACCCCCCAGTGGGGCTGCTCAACTCCCCTCCCCACAACCTTACAAGTTGCTATACTTTTTAAACATATCACCTGGAGCTTATAGTATGGACCCTATTCTTGAAATTTATTCTGCAAATAAAGTCAAGCATTTAATTCAAAAGCATGAAGCAGTTAAATAATTTTATCAGTGGGAGAACTTAGAAGCCCTGGGAGGAGAAGTGTTATACTTCATAACACCTGTTGGTTTGATAGTTTTGCCATTGCTTAAGCATTTGTGTCCAAAAATAAAGCTCTGTATCAACAAAATAATTGATAGTCATTTTCCCTCAATATATTCCACATACTCCACTTTCCTCTGGAGGACTCACAGAAATCTCAAGAACTTTTGCCATGCTATGAAACATCACCACCATATTTGGCCATATGCAACTCTTCATCCTAGCTCCCCTCCTCTAAAATAAACAAAGACTGAGTAGTCTCACCCTCAACTTCTTTGTTCCTGGTGTCTTCCTTCACAAAAGACACTGGACAGCAGTTCGTATGGGACAGTGCCCAGAAAACTACTGGCACCCCACATGTGCTGCTATTAACAGTAATAAGAACACGAGTTACATTTATAATCAAAGGAAACACAACCAGATCTCTGTTCCGGTTTAATAAGATAATTGAAATTACCTCATGCAAGGTGTTCAGTGACCAATAAATGTTTGGATGGTGGCCAATGGCCTCCAGATATACAGGCATTTGATCATAAAAGGATGTTTGGCTGTTTCCCAGGAAGAAGAGATTAAAAAAAAAAGAACAGAGTTATTTTCCCCTTTTCCATGTGTATGGCATGAGAGAGAACAAATGTGAGGTTATGACAAGGTGGAATCAGGAACAATTTGGCCAGTGATGAAATACTCAACCCACCTGGAGATGTTTTCTCATCTTGTCTTAACCAAGGGCTTGCTGACTGGAAAGGACCCAACTTCGGCAGGTAAAGTTAAATGTATAGTCATAAAGACCTGGAGAGTGAACTCCTGAGAACCAGCCAAGTTTTAATAATTAGATTTCACAATGAGGACCATCTAGTACTGATGAATTGGGGTAAAATGAGGGGAAAAGTACTCTTCTCGATTAGCATTTTTATTTCAAACTGTGCTAAGAATTGTACTTCCAAAGTGACTAATAAAGACATTTCATATTTTCTGTCTGCTTTCAATACTCAACTTTAATCAAAAATCAATGTTCGAAAATTCATTTATTTGGCTGAGTCAGATGTTTTTTGATGTTCATCTTTTGTTTTTCTTTTTCTATTCATTTTAGCCACCTACGTGAGAGAATTATTGGAGGCTATGAAGCATCCGACCTATGCTGTAAGCATTTCTTGAATGTATCCTGGCTGGAAAAAAAACATGGTAAAGTGTTCATTTGGGATTGCATTAACTTCTCTCCTGTGTTAGATAGGCAGAGAAAGACCACCCTTGAGGATATCTGTGTTTAGTACTCACACCCATTTCAAACAGAAGTTGGAAGAGAGGGAAAAAAAATGAGAAGGTGGGGAAAACGGAGAGCGGAGAAAAATAAAGGCACCGAAATTTCTAAGAAAGGAGTAAGCAGTAATTTATCAATCTGTACTTACATAAGAGAATGATAGACTAGGAATCAGCCAGTCTCCATTTCTATTCTATTACACCATATGCCATCACTGATATTTCAGTGTTTCTGATTGAAAAATGGTAAATTGTGTAAATCAATATAATACTAAAAATTGGAAGAAATTTACCTAAAACTGCAGCAGAAGAATTGCTTTAACTGAGACTAACTGAAGATTCAGGGATGTGTTTTGGAAGGAAATGCCACATCAGTTCAGGAGTGACTTTCCACTTTTCCTCTGAGGAGCTTTACAAGTAGTACCAAAATCCCTAGAGAAAAAGAAGTACCTAGGACTCGTGGAGGTGGAAAAGAGGCTCTCATATGTGTTGTACAGTCAAGAACAACATTCACTGAGTCTTTGCAATGGCCTTCTAAGTTCTGTGGGCAGTTACAAAGGATGGCACTGCCTCTAGGCTGGCACACAGATCACCCAGTTGTGTGAAGAAAAACCATGTAAATGCATTACCTACTGAAGAGCTTCAGTGAGCGGAAATAAAGAGTTCAATTAGCAACCACAGATAATTTGTAGGTCTTGAGCCAAGTTTACACAAAATGATGCTTTACTTCCCTTTACATTCTTAATCTTCTCAGTCTCAGCAGGGGTTGAAATAGTTCCATATAGAAGAACAGGGCAATTACCAGGCCCTTTGAACTGTACTGTGTAGGGCAATTCCAGTGGGATCCGGTGTTTACAGGCAAATTAGTAGCTTCAGTGGTTTACTGTTAAGCTAACAAACCATTAGAAGGGTCTGCCCTCCAAGCACAATCTCTGAAGGTATTCATAAATTTTGGTTCTGGGTTAGAAAAATGCAGTAGTTGGTTAAAACTAGTGTGCCTGATTTCTCTACTCTCCCCACCCCAGATTTGAGCACAGAGTAAAAACTATCAGGAACAGCATTCTGTGAACTTTGCACTGTGGTGTTTGATTTCATATTTTAAAATGTGGTTTTCAGCAAAATTACTTTGCTATTAACTAAATGAAGAGGACCATTTGGCTTATGCTTTTTGGTAAAGGTGGAGGCATGAATGAATGGCTGAAGAAAAACAGCTGGTCCAGGATTACCCATTTCTCCTGTGCCGTCTTCTGTTAGATGCCCCTGAGAGACAGATAAAACACATGCCATCTCTTAGAGTCATAGACACTTAAGTCAGGACCCTCCATGGCCAACAGATTTCTGACTCTTTTGGGGGTTGCCAGCAAAGCAGGCGAACTCTTCTTCTTTTGCTTTTGATAACCCTGCATCTCTCTGCTTCTTAGTTTACTCTCCTTTTCTCCCCATCTCTTTTACACTCTACTCTCTTCCCACCACACATACTCATATTTGTTAACCATTTTGCTTAGGAGAAGAGTAGACAGGGCATGGCTAAATATTCTAAGACAGACAACCAGTGTCAAGTTAACCATAAACTTAGAAGTAACAATTATGCTATAGTTGTTATGTTCCAAGGAGAAAGGCTTAACTCTGAATGTATATTTTTATCAAGACACTGATGACATCTTTTTTTTCAGTTTGAGATGATTTGCTTTTGAAAAATGTTTTTCTTCTTCATTGCTTATGTTTCCTGAGTAAAAAGTGTATTGCAATAGGCAGACTATGAGATCTCTTGTTCTTGTTCCTTTTAAAAAAAAATTTAACCGCTTTTTTCCCCTCAGGGCATAAGCTAATACAAAACAAAAATAAAGTGGTTCCTAATAGACTCAATTAAGACATTGAATTAACACACACAGCTCTGAAAAAATAATGCTAGTTGCAAGACACCCTCACTAATAGACTGAGTTTAATGTTATCCAACAGAAGGTTGCTAAACTGAGTGCTGGGATGGTGTGGGCAAATAGCTTTTAATACTTTAAACCAAATCACCTGTTATTATAGAAGAAGCACTCTGATGAATTTTATGTTCCTATAGATACTGTGAGATTTTTTTTAAATGGGATTTGCTAGAGGCTAACGTTTTTTCCAAAGGCAAAACAAAATACCCCCAAAATATTGTGAACAATTCAAACCTAAGAAGCTGGAGTTAGTAAAAGATGTTAGGAGTTATCTTATTGGAGACTTCCATAGCAAAGACTTGACCTGGTCAAGTTCCTCACTGTACAAAGAAGCAGTCAAATTTATAGCTTCATTCATGTTCATTTGCTTTATACTTGTTATTTGTATTAGTCAAAATATGGGAGAAGGAAATGCTCTTGAATTACCCACTTGTGAATTACTTCTGAGGTGAAAGGAAGGAGACTTTCCCTCATAAATTGCATCACTGCTTTGCACCATGGAAGATTCAATTTCAGCTCTTATTCTGTTCAGAAATGGCCTCTTCCTGCCTAAAGGGATTAAAACACCTGTTCTATACCATGGTATACTAAAAACCAATAGTTCAGAAAGGATGCAGTCAACAAGGAACACAAGTCCAGACCATCCAGATAACTAAGACAGAGAGCTGCAGCAACATGCAGCCATTACCCGCCATTCCCACCAAAGAGTAAAGCAGGCAGCCAACAATGTGCACAGCATACTAGAAGCAAGGCTTTCTGCAGAAATCAACTGGTCAAAATCAAGGACTTGGGTAGATACAAAAGCAAAGAGTAACAATTCTCTAAGCTTAGTAAACAGGCCCTAAGGAAAGATGCAAGCATTACAATATAGACAAGGGAGAACAAGAGCAACATGGGACAAACAGACAACAATGACCAGAACAGGAAAACTCCCACATCCACATTACCTGTCTCCCAGAGAGGAAGATCTGGGCGTTAGAACTCCCTGAATATGTTCTATAACTGATTTTGTTGGTTGACAGAGAAAACTGTACAATTTTCATTCCAGAGGGTAGAATCTGTCATTCTCCATAAACTCCTATGTCATTTTCATAAAGTGTCCATTATATATTCTTTTCAGGCACTGTTAAATGTAGATATCTAAGCTAGGTGGCCTCTAATTAATATTCAAGGACCTGATAGCCAAAGGAGTGTAAAACAGGTCATTAATATAAAAAAAGTATGTAGCTCCATGAGCGTGAAAATACTGATGGACTGATTATTAGTTAAGAATAGATAAATACTTGGTATCATTTGTCTAAAATAAAACAAATATTAGCTGTAAGATCTAAAGAGAAGGAAAAAGGGAAAAAAAGAATTAAAAATGAAGTACCCATTACAGAATTTTGATTAATAAAGATGATTTCTGCCTGGGTGTGTTAAATACTATATCAGGGAAATCTTAGTTTATTCAGTGCCTTATGTGTCACCATGGCTACCAGAGGCTCCTTCCAAAGCCAAAAAAGTAAAAGAGTAATGACTCAACATTAAAATATTTTTCCTTCTTAGCCTCTTCAGAAAAGCAGCATTCCTACCACACGTAGTATAGCAACAAGAAGTTCACACCTCAATGAAGGACTTGGTTTCAGTCCTTCAGTCCAAAGAGATTATGAAATACCATATGCTACTTTGACTTGGAGGCAGCAATTTCCAGTCCTTCCAGCTAGAATGACAGTGTTCTCAGTTAGAGACAAAAAAATTTTACTATTTCCCTTGGTCTCCATTCCCCCACTTCCCAGGTACCTGAAAGGACGCTGTGCATCACGATTACTGCTGCTTTACAGCATTATCTTCCTAACATTTGAATATGGTTGTGCTTTTTCTCATATATTTGTGCTTACTGCTTAATTAAATTGGTCAGCAGGAGGATGTAGGACTGTCAGATTTTAATTTATAGTTCTTATTGATGATGAGAGAAATCAAACTGCTTTTGTAAAAGGAAGGAAGGAAGGAAATAAAAGAGAGAGAGAGAGAGAGAGAAAGGGCATCAGACTGACCACATGGATGTCCACCACCATTACCGTGGGCCACAATAATAGTTCATTCATGAAGGTATGTCCTGCAGTTAATACTGGGGGAGGTGCAATCAAAAGAAGGAAAGAGTGGGTGAGAAGATAAAATGAATAAAGATTAAAATGATGTCACTGTCCATTTATAACCCTATTATTTTACTGAATCATTTAAAGAAGAAATTGAATACAAACCCCATGTACCTCCATTCAAATGACCAACCCCACATGTAAACTATGTGGCTTTAGGTAAAGCTGCATGTCTGACATAAACTATTTACCATTTTATCAGTGAAGGAATAATAGAAGCAGGTGTTCCTGCTCGTCTAAGTGAAATACACTCACTAAACATTTTATAATCTATCAGACTGTTGTATCAGTGATGTATTGTACTATTGCATTTTTTCTTAGGCCTAGATTATAAAAAAATATACCACAAGCCTCCTGCTAAGCATCAGAGAATGAGATCCACATTTCTTATGCTTTTTTTTAATGCCTATTTACCTACCACAACAAGCTTTCTATAACTTTCTTGTGAGCAAACAAACTTTCTTCTAGTTCATTTTCTTTCTCTGTAATATTTCAAAACTTTGTGGCTTTGGAAACATCTCTTAATAAAAATAGGGTTACAAATGTAGGGAAATGCAATACTGATAAAAATGAAAACTGGTATTGAAGGTTTTATCTGGTGACTTTCTATTGTTCATAGATCTCATTAAGAGTTCCTCTTTGATTTAGAAATTTTTAAGCCCCTACCAATGCCAAGTCAGCATACACTGTAAACATGTTCACCTACAGAGGCATGGAAGATACCACTCCCCAGCATTATTCCACATACTGATAGCTAGGGACTCTCTCCCACATATTATCTGCTGGAACTTGATCATTCACTGAGCTGACATACATGAACAAATGCTTAGTAGTCCTTGTCAGAAAAACAGTGCCTCTCTGTAGTGATAGACTCAAGGGGCTCTGGGCCAGTGCCCAAGGCCTCTACAGCCAGCACTTAGGCACACAGAAGGCATGTGATAAATTCCCATTGAGGGAAAGCATACCTGAATAAAAATAAGAACTATAGGGTGATGACAGAGTTGTGAAAAACTGGCTGTCCCTCCTGAGGGTGGTGGAGTTGGAGGACCCCACAGCAGAGACCATTTAGTTGATGCTTAAGCTTTTTCACTTTCTGATCTGAAAGTCTGGTGGAGGCACCACAGAGGATGAGGAGATGTTCTCAGCTCACAGGAGAGCCTGCTGGTGACTCTTCAGGCCTGCCAGCCAAGTCCAGAGCCAGAATAACAGAAGGTAAGGGTCAGATGATGTCCCTCACACCATTCAATTCATCCGAGTTAGAGAAGCACCTCCTGAAAGGAGGGCTAGAGTTTGTCCAGATCCAAAAAGTACCGCTTTTCCAACCCATTTCTCAGTGGTCACATTATTTCAAGTCTCACTTTGACACTGAAGAGATTGAGGAAAAGTATCAATTTATCCTTGATAATTCAAATGGGATTTTTCAGATTAATTGAAAAATGCCTCTGAAGAGCTTGGGGCACAAAAGGACACCACAAACTGAGCAAATGTTGCTTTTGAAAGGTACCTCAGGTGTCAGGAAAGCAGAAATAAACTCAGTTGTCATGAGATATGTAAATCAGACCCATAGAAGGACTTTGTACCAAGAATGTCTACTGGGCAACAGACTGCATGGCAGATAGTGGATATGAAAATGGCCATGGATTTTCAACATGAATATCTATTTGTAGGGACATGCCTTGGTCATCAGTCGTCTCTTCCAGGCCACAGGAAGATAAGTTACAATTTCTTTTCCTCTAACTTAGAAAAACTGTGATTTTTAACTTGAAATGTAGCCTGTTCCCTTGTTAACGCTATCCTTGGAGTGCCCTGCTGCACTGCTAGGAAGAATGTTTCCACCAAAGATCTGCTGGAGCCTCCAGCAATGGAGGCCTTTGGATGGGTGTTAGGCAGTTGTTCATTCTTCAGTGTACTGGGTGGTGTTTCCAGCTAGTGTACGCTAAGAGTGTTTTTAGGGTATTGTTATGACCCAAAAAGATGTAATGGTAATAAAATGAATAGATATATTTTATAGTAATCAATATTAAGTACTTAACAGTGTTTTTATATATTATTTCAATTAACCTTTAAAAATCACCTCCCTTTCACATGAGGTCCAATTATTATACTCAGTTCACAGTGAGGAAGGAAAGACAATCAAAGGCATGCAGCTGAGCTGAGGCCCCAGTGGAATCTGACTCCAGAGTCCACAATGGGAGGAGCATGACATTACTAATTGTTTTCCTAAGAGACTCTCAAAAGAAAAGGACCCACCAAATTACAAGTTCTCGTATTTAACACTTCCCTACGCCAATACAAAATCCAATGTCCTGGAAATAAGATGGCTATATGGAAAGCTTCCTGGAAATGCTATTTGGAGTTACTGAGATCTGTGATTGAAACGTGATCTGGCCAGGGTAACAGCACACCTCAGAGAAGAAAGCAGATTCCCCATTCTACACTCTCTTCTGTGGCCTTTGGCCACCAATGCCTGAAGATGGAAATACAATTTTCAGACTTATCAGCTTTCTGTAATTAAATAAATATTGCAAGGTACAGCACAGGCCTGTTTTTTGTAAGGCTCTGAAGGGGAAAATGATTTCTAAAAGGCAATTTTCTAACATCTTGAAAACGTCCTCAGTATGCTAACTTGCTAACAAACTACAAAAGAACTGTTATAACTTTGCATTCTGCAATATCTAATATGTATGAAATCTAACACGGCTACTCCTTTCCACTTGGGAATCACTTTTCAAGTGAAGAGAAAAGAACTGTAAAAAAAAAAAGACAAAAAGTATGTAAGTTGGTTTCTAACCCAAGTCAACTTTAATGAAACTGAAATCCTAGGTAGGTCTGAAATACTTGGTGGGATAATTTTTTCTATGGGCAAACACACATACACACACCATCAATACCAATACCACCACCACCACCACTGCCACCACGCCCCCCTACTACTCCCACTACCACTCATCTTATTTAGTTTAAAATGTTTCCAAATGCCACTGAAAATGAATTGTCCAGGAAAGGCAAGAAGCCTTCAGAGTTGGACTGACTGTCTTCTCATTGAACTAAATGTCCCTGGTTATGTTGTTTATCTAAATTCTGGTCTATATTATTCCTAGAACTGTTTATATTTTGTTAATTAGGTCCATTAATTTATCTGGCAGAACAATTTCACAGCAAGACTATACCTCTAATTTTCTGACCAACCACCAGTCTTCGCCTTTAGTTAATGCTGTGAGAATTGAGATTTTAAAGAAACCCATAAAGTGCCAGAAAATTTTTTTACTCTTTCTCTCTATGGCCCTAACAAGTCAGAACTTGACTTAAATTTTCCATGAGGACAAGGTGTGAGCAAAATTTCCACACTTGCAGGTGAACACTTGCTATTATGTCCCTTAAGATATTTTCTTTGCTTGGAATTCAAATATTATTTCTGGGGTTTATAAGTGCATAGATGTGGGTATTTCTCTAATCCCTTTAATCACAAGTGTGTATGATGAATTTAAAAAGGCACTTAGTATAAAATGAACTTGAAAAGCATCTTTAAAAATGTAAGGAAAATTCTTATACAATGTTAAAAGATGAAGGAAAATAATAAGTAACATTTAATTATCAGAAGCTGTAAATACATTTTTGGCTGATAAGCCTCAAAAACTTCTTAAGTAGCCAAAGCTATTGTTTTGGGTAAAAAAATTATTATAATAGCAGCTAGTGAGATAATGTGTACAGTGCATTGATTATGTGTCTGGTAAATATGAGTTTTGTTTCTGTTTTTCAGTTGAGGAAACCGAAGTACAGAGTTAAAGCAACTTGCTCAAGATCACACAGCTAATTAACAGTTGAGTCTGGTATTGAATTTTAAATGAAATCAGAGTCCAGAATCCACACTCTTAAACACTACTCATATTGTCTTTGAATATTAGAGTTACATTAAATATAAAGAAAGCTCCTTGACCTAAGAGTAGTGAGATTAAAAATCACAATACGTAAAAATAACCACGTAGAAAGGAAAGGAAATGGCTTATTTCTGTGGCATAAAGAAAAAAAAAAAACCCAGCTTCATCTACAACTAATCAAGGGTTCAGGACAATATTGTAGAAAGGACTTAGTAAATGAATTGTTGATCTCTGTAATGTTTACTTCCTTGTGGCATGCAGTGGTCTTCTATCCACAGGAAAGAGGCATCTATAGAGTTCCCACACTTTTACAGAGGGAGTAAGTGCTGAACAAGTCTGTTTGAAACATATGTCTCTTTGAAAGTTTAATGGAGGCTTTTTCCTCATTCTCCTTGTTGCTCTTTAGGAAACAGCCTGCATACTTTCAGGGACATCTGCCTTACCTTGTTCTACCGGAAGAGGCAAGCACTCCATGTTCCTTAAGAAAAAAAAATGATCACTTTGATCATGCTGCCTGTAATGTCAGACTCTCTCCATGAACAATACACTTATTTTAAAAGTTCATTCTCACTAATGAAAAGCAAGTGTATGTGACAGAGTTTAGAGAAGAGTCACCTGTTAAGATACCTTTTACAGCAATGCTTCTGAAATCATTAGAAGCAACCCAGCTATATTACCCTAAAATGTACGATTTTCTTCAACCAATAAAGCACATTATGGTGTGTCCTTTGGGTTCATAACCAACCTCAATAATAGTCCATTTTCAGTTACATGTCAAGACGGCTCGAACTCTTAATGTTCTCATAAATAAATGGTCTAACCATTGGGAGCTAATTGTCACAGTGGGAAAGTGTGAAAGGCTTGTAATCATGGCCTTTATTGTCACAATTAATTTTCATATTGTAGCAAAATATAACCTCAGGAGCCCCTTAGAATAAAAAAAAATGACTTTGTACTCAAATAGAGAGTTTATGTGTTTTAAATAAATTTTGGTAATTCAAAACCAACTTAATCTCTTCAAAATCAACAATCAGCATTTTCTTACTATGTGGGGATAACTGAAGCAGTAAAATTTCATTTCCAAAGAATAGATGAGCACTTTTCATGGAAAAACATAATTTCAATATTTTATAGATTTACTCTTTTAGACTTATGTCACATATCTTTAAAAATCTGTACTTATTTAGGGCCAGAGTACATTTAGAGACAAAGTCAAC
Organism: Homo sapiens; assembly: GCF_000001405.40. NCBI lineage: Eukaryota > Metazoa > Chordata > Mammalia > Primates > Hominidae > Homo > Homo sapiens. The sequence goes on along the minus strand of NC_000014.9, from coordinate 33,398,598 downwards.
CTTAACCAAGAAGTAGATTGGCAAAATAAACATCCTTGTTATCTATCCATCATACAAAAGCATGTTAATAAATCCAGATAACTCTTAGGACATATTACTAAGAAAAAGTTAAAACAGTGATGAGATTTGGGGAAGTAATTAGTGCTCAGAATATATCACTGGGTTTTACCTGTACTTTTTTTTTTTTTTTTAAAGGAAAATAACAAAGGTTCAATTTTGGATAATTAAACATACAGAGGATTCAAAATTCATTTACTTCACAGGAACAAAGATTCAGTAATTATCTTCCCAATAGCAGAAGGGAATTGGGCAGTGTGGTTCTGACTGGGGCTCTGCACAGTGTGGCATGCTGTTTGCTTCATTTAACTTTCTTTAATATTATTAATCTTCGGGAAATTAGACTCTGCTCCAAGCAGTGTGAACTGCCATCCCCAAAACAACTGGATAATCAGGTAGGAAAAACCTTCTCTCTAAGACCCAGCTGCCACTAGAACTTGATTTTTCTTAATCATCTCTCCCTGAGAGGGAGAAAGGAGAAGAATGTTTCCCTAACAAAATTTTTGGCATTGGTGTACTGAAAAGATAATTGGAGGCTTCATATAAATCAGTTTGGCTGAACTTAGTAAAATGAAGCCAAACAAAAATTACGCCCCAAATGGACTGAATTCAGTTAAATAACCAGAGGACCTATGTGTCTATTTCTGATCTGTGTAGAACTGGATGCTCTTAGAGCTGGCATCAAAAGCATCCGATCAAGTGCCTTCTCTGCTGTGTATGTGCTGCTACTCAGAGCGCAGTGGTCAAAAGCATGAGCTGTGGCTGGAGGCACAGCTGGATTTGAATTCGGGCTAGGACACTGTAGTTTAGATGTGTTACTTTCCATACATCGGTTTTCTCATCCCCAAAATGTAGATAATACCTGTCTCCTACATGTCTTGGGAGAACCAACTGAAATAAGTCCACACAGTATAAAACTTGGTGCATATAGTGCACATAGTGCAATGGAAACTATTAGCAACAATAAGAAATTCTTATCATTAACCTCATGCAATTGACTAATTAGAATAAAGCATTGGTGTAATAGAGCCACCAAGAAGTACTGTACAGTAGCATAAAGAACCCTGGATTTAGATTCAGAAAATTAAACTAGAACTCCAGCTTTGTGGCTTGGTAACTGTGGGACTTGGGGCAAATGGCGTAAATTCTCTGAACTTCAGTTTCTTCATATAAATAACAGAAATAATAATTATCAACACAGAACAAATGAGATAGTGTCTGTTTCAAAGTGCCTAGTATTGTGGCTTAGTACTTAGTAAGTGCTTAACAAGTTATTAGTGGAAACTCAATCTTTCTGCAGAGCTGCAATTATAAGCCTCTCTTCCAGGAGTTAAGAGACAGAGAACCAAGTCAAGGGGAGATTTTGGATCTGTGACTGGTATGAATTTGGCCCAAACTGGCCTCTTAGGTGTCATTATTACAATTGATTTACAAAGCTAAGAAAGAGCCTTCTTAATTCAGCACCAAACTCACCATTCCCCATGGATTTGATAGACAGGCCCCTTAAACTGTGAAAATCTGTTATAATAATGCCACCACCATTTTATATTTGTGTCTATATCATATGACACAGGGAAGGTCTAAAGCATATAAAGAAGGTCACAATGGAATAAGTGATCATAGAATATGTTTATATGTTATAAAATTTCCATAAATAAAGCATTTGTGCATGCTCCATCAGACTAGAGCTAGTTTTCATGGACAGATATAATATATGTACACATTGCACTTATATTCACTTATATATTCACATAACACATATACACATAAGTGTATATATAAATGAATATAAGGTATTAAGTTCAATTGAAATCCTTTCAACTGTATCCTAAGCAACATAAAAATTCCAAAGGAAATTGGCTAAAATGTGCACAAAATTCCCCTATAAAGAAACTTAGTATTTAGGAGATTATGCATAATTTGTGAATGTGATATCATAGAGAACCATGCAGGAATAGAATGGCCAGGAATAGTGAGGATTTTTCAGCAGCTAGATGATATTTTTTCCTGGTGAAATAGACTTGAAATATTAACAGAGGTGGAATAAATAAATTCTGAAACAAACAATAGTTCTACCATGTAAAACTTAATGGATTGAGGAGCCAATAGAGAACGCTGTAGTATTTAAGGTCAAAATAAGATAACAAAGGTATTTTCCTTGAACTGAAATCACCCACGTTTAATCCTCAGCACTGCTCAGAGTCAGGACCATTAAATCAAATGGGACTATGTTAAAGGCACAGGGAAGAGAGAAGAATTTTGCATCAAAATCTGAGAGTTGAATCATCTTGTACTTGATTCAGCAATGGCTGTGATGTTTACAACTCAAATGAGCTGAGACTCAGCCTTCATTATAGATATTGCCAGAGTCTGCTAATCTGGGTTAAAAGTTATCTGTCAGCTATTTATCTCAATGAGGTTCACAAAGTCTTCACTATCCCTTTCTCAGGCTTCCTCCCCACAACACCTTGAAACAAGCCCAAGTCAAAGGTTAATTGGATGTCCTGACTACTTTGGGTGGGGCTGGAGGGAATGGGGGCAAAGCCACTTAAGAGAGACAAAGATACTCATCCAGAACTAGGAGGCACCTGGTCTAGGAAGGAACCGCTGGGCCTTCAAGTCCATTTGCTTATAATTTATCTGGGGAGATAAGATGAAATGCAGAATAATTAGTGCTATGGAAAGTGCCTGATACCTAAATGGTCTTTAATTAATGCTTGTTTAATGAATTCAAAAATAAATGACTGAGTGAATGAATGAATGAAAGCACTAATAAGGCAATATATAATAAATGCCAAAATGTCTGAGGTTTAGGCCACCCCAGGGGACCTGACAGAACAAGGAGGGAGCTATTGAAATAGTGGAACTGGGTTAAGCTTTTATGAACAGGCTTAAAATTTGTATTTAATATACTAAATATAAACATGAATTATCTATCTGTACATATACATAATATATACATGTATGTATGTATACACGCATATATGTATGTATGTATACGTGCACATATGTATGCATACTTCAGATAGATAATTCATGTTTATATTTAGTATATTAACTTTTTATCAGGCTGTAACAAATGTATCCCAAGTGGTGATATTTACAAAGAATTTATTTACCAAGGTAAAAAAAAAACTTGAACTATGATGTAGTAATAATCTTTATATAGTTAATGGTTCATTCTGGATAAACACCCTCAAAATTAACAGCTATGCTTCTGATATTTTCATCAACTGCCAAAAATAAATGATAATATTTATTTTCCATTGTCACTGAGGCACTGACAGAACTAATATTATTTTAAAGTATCTGCTGATTACGAAATGCAAAACAATGATAATAACTCTTCATATGACCCTTCACAAATTCATTAAACTCTCTGAAGAAGTTTCTCTAGTAGAAAAACCAACACTACTTCAATTATCTTTCAAGAGATCCTCGCTATTTGCAATTCTCTTACTGCAGTGCTCCTATTACATACTTTTGCTACAACCAGTGTACTAAAAACTGTTAAAGCCTAATTGTTATAATTTTCTAGCTTGTAGAATTTACTAATGGTTTTTGGCTGTTGGCAAGTTTGATGATTCTAATATTGATAAATGTTTGTTTTCCTCCTCCACTCCCATCACCATTTACCTGAGTGCATATTTTAAATACCAGTGGGGCTTTGGAATATATGTTAAGCATCTGGGTAAAGATAAAAAACAATATGCAAGGCAAATGCACTTATCAACCTGATCGATCTCTTGACCTAAGATTTTGATAATGTTTGCTGAGAACTTTGGGCATAGAAATTGGCCTTTGGATTTCAACTGACTTCAAAAATCTAATTGTTATATTTCTTTTGGTCTGGGAAAACAGCATTTTTAAAATGTTTAGGATAAATATGGAAAAATGATACATGTAGATCCTGCTAACATGAAAATAATTCATTGAACAACAAAATTAGTAAAAATTAGCTAAAAAAGTTCTAGCTATTAACAATCAGTGAAGCAGCAAAAGCTGAAGTTTTGCTGAATAGGACAAGCCAGGGGCTATAAATTCTCATCAGGTTTTGGGGATTATAGAATAAGATCTTTGCTCATTTGATACGTTAAGCTTTGCTAAGCACTATATTTTACCTTAATTCTGGATATTGTAAAGAGTGATATTAAGTAACTGTGTTCTAGGAGGAAAAGAAATATATACCGTGCCCCTTTAGTAAAACTGTTTTTAAATTCTAATAGAATTTCAAGGTTATTATCTATTTCAGATCAACAGTGGGGGTCAGAGTTCACAGCAGCCAGAATTTACAAACCTCCAATGGGTTTTGATTGACAGCAATCAGCATCTCTTCAGCATCACTGAGGGAACAAAGTACAGGTCAAGACAGCAGGCGATTTCATCTGTCATTTTTAATTATCTAAATGATATTCACAGACAAAACCTTTCCCATCCATCAGGGCATCACATTACCATAGACAATGTTTGTTTAAAGAAGAGGCCATAAAATCAAACAATTATGAATGCAGACAAGCCTTGCTATTGACTGCATAAATAATCAAGCGAGAGTTCCAAAACTCTCTGCTAATGAATTGGTAGATTGCTGGCAGGAAGTGGCAAGTAATAATATAGACAACAGTCTAATGTCCTTATTGACTTTTACTAAAGCTTGACTATAGTCGCAAAGATTCAAAAATGACGTCAAGTGAGGTTTCCATAGGAGCAATATTGATAGCAGTACACAGCTAAAATACAAGTAGTTAACTCTTGACCTTATGGTAGGACCAGAGATCCCCTGAGAGCACTGAAATGCTAGCAGTATCATATATCATGAACTGAGCCAACAGCCGCGGGGTCCCTGACAGCATTACCACACAAGCAAGGGGCCCTTCTTTTGCCATTTATAACACAGTAATCTCTAATAATTCAGCTGCAACCCTGGAAATTAACTCTATTTCAGTTTGTTACATGAGTAATTAAAGTTTCCTCTCCCCCGACCTTTTTTGGGAACAGTGAAGGAAGAGTATATGCCTAAAATACATGTAACTGGTGGCGGCCAGCTGAAGTGGAAAAACCTGGAAGCAGGAGGCTCCGGACCTAAGAAATGGAGCAAGCGCTCCAAGGAAACATGCATGAAGTAGTGCATAGTTGTGAGTAATGACTCTCCTTGTCTAATGTACACCATCCATAAAAATGCGAATCAGTGGCACCTGTTTTTGTAGTACATCCTTATTCCTTTAACTGTGTTCGTAAGGAATTCCACCCACCTTATAAAAAACTATCAGCAAATACGGTGACCACAGCTTAACAAATATCATTTCAATGGCTTAACAATGCTCCCCAAATTAAGTAAATCTCTTGATACAAGCACACTTTATTATCCTGCTAATTAGCCATTAGTGTCCCACCCCTCACTTCCCTCAACAGGTACAAAATGTTGTCACATCATTTAGTAGAAAACAATTTAGAAAATAAGCATATTTAGTTTGAACAAGTATTTGAAAAATATGTTCTAGAGAGAGAAAAATTTCTCAGCAGTATCACAAAAGAGGGTCATGGGGGTAAATTTTATGTCTATGGGAAGAGCTCACCCCAGCAAACATTATTTCCTGTAGTTGCTCAGCAGATCACAGTCCATAGCCATGGCCATGAGAGGATCACCTCTGCTGTTAACCAAGTTCACATTTTATGAATGGGAAGACATGGGATAGCAGAGGAAGAAAAAACACTGGAGGAAAAGAGGGAGAGGACAGGAAGGAAAAATACTGTGTAGAGGGCAAAATTCAACTGGAGTAAGGGTAACACGAGCGGTGATGTGTAAAATCTGTATTTGTTCTGATAGACACTACTCAAACACCACACCATAACACCATTTCATCTGTTAGCTTTCAGGGGATTTCCAGACTTCTTTTGGAAATATGGAAATAGTCATAACTGAACACAAAAGAATGATGCACTAATTTCAAAAAAGCATAATATTAATTCAAGTCTTATGTTGATAAATTCCTACTTGAACTCCGAGCGTCAGTACTTTTCTTCTTAAGCTACTACTGCATTATTTTGATTACATTAAAATTTATATGTCAATTTTAGAAAAGCATAGTCACTGGCATCCGACAGACCTAGGTACAGATCCTATATTCATCATTTACTAGCTAGGTGACCTTAAGACTTTTTTCTATTATCTATAAAGTAGGAATACTAATAGCTATTTCATTGGGAGGTTGTGAATGTAAAGAAATCAGTTGTAAAGCATGTGATAAATGCTCAATAAATATTAATTCTTTCCTTTCCTTCTGGCTTATATTTGTTTAATGAATACATGTTACAATCCAGGGGTAATTTTAAGGGCGGCAAAAATAAACTACATTTTATGTCTATAAAAAGTAGAATATGTGACAAGAGGGATGATGCCCACATGTCCTTTAACTACTGAGATAATCCTTCTGTTTTATTAGTCAAACTAACTTTTACAATATATGACTTCATAGAAATTTTAGTCATTTTAACCCATTTTCTTTAAACTAAAAATGTCAACTATCATCTGAAAATCCAGCTCCAGAAATGTTTCTGTTGCTGATTTATTAGGAAATATATTTATTCAGTAAGGGGATTATCTTCATCAATACCATTCTCTTACTCATTTGCAATTCGATTAGTCATTTTTAAATCATCGTATGTTAGAAATTAAGTATATCTGGGAGTTTGATCTAAGACCTTTTACTGTCTGTCATCAATATACCCAAGGGTGAGCATGTCTCTGAAGTTCTGGAAACGCCAAGAAGAATAACATGGTGTCCAGTAGGATTAACTACAAGGTTATTACCATTGGCCTCACTTTGTGCGTTTTCTATTTCTGATCATAAAAACTTCAACACAATATCTTCTCATCCCTGAAAAAAACATTGTTCACACACACTCTCTCTTTCACCACTCCATTTCTTTCTCCCTCTCTACCTCTCTTTCTCTCTTCCTCTTAATCAAAAATTAAAGAGGTTTTTGAGATAGGCTGAGCCTGAATGAAATATAAAATCAGTAACGTTGGTAGTGAATTAAGATATGGGCCAAGCTGGGCGCAGTGGCTCACGCCTGTAATCCCAGCACTTTGGGAGGCCAAGACTGGCGGATCACCTGAGGTAGGGAGTTCAAGACCAGCCTAACCAACATAGAGAAACCCCATCTCTACTAAAAATACAAAATTAGCTGGGTGTGGTGGCGCATGCCTGTAATCCCAGCTATTTGGGAGGCTGAGGCAGGAGAATTGCTTAAACCTGCGAGGCAGAGGTTGTGGTAAGCCGAGATCGCGCCATTGCACTCCAGCCTGGGCAACAAGAGTGAAACTCTTTCTCAAAAAAAAAAAAAAAAAAAAAAAGATATGGGCCAAAGAATGAGGATTTTTGTTTAAATGTCTATTATTGTCTCTTAATATTTGATTATTTGTTTTTGTTTTACACTATTTCAGACTTCTGTGCCTTGGCATTCCCCTTATTGTTACCTTGATGGACATCAGTAGTTCAAAGGGATACATAATACAAATAGTTAGGATACCTAAAGGACAAAATCTGCAATGTTCCAAGGTACACATTTGTAAAAGAAAGTACAGGACACAGCATGCCTTATTAATTTTTTTTTCAAAAGACAGAACTGAAGTTTCTAAATTATCAAACATGGGCAGGATACACCTATTTTAATTTTGAGACTGTTCAGGAATGAAACATGGTAATAAAATAAAAAATACACAAGTATCTCTTTTCTTAATATAACTATAGATTCTAGACCCTAAAAGTGCAATGTAACACACAAGCACAGATGCATACTTTTCCCCACATTTTAAAGATGGGAACTTAAGAGCATCCACAAAATCCTAGGTATAGTCCAGGCAAAGATTAAAGGAAGGAAAATGCATTTAGATGGGAAACATCCATCGTCCATATACTTGGTGCAGTACACTCTACAAATTGGCTATTAGACCTGCCCTCATCTCTCTCTACAGAAGCAGCCACAGCTGGATCAGATCTATAATGTAATAGGGGGATGAGGTGTCTTTGGATAAGGGCCAGCATCTTAATTCCTGCTGAAAGAAATATTGCTGATAGAAATATTGACTGCTAAATTATTCTGAAGCAAGAACACGTTCTTCTTTTCTCTATCACTGTAGGCCCTGATATAGTAAGCCATCATCTTCTACCTTTCTCTCAGACTGCTGTTTTTGGCAGGGAGGCAGCACTCTTTCTCTCCTATTACTACCAAGAAACTTGTTTTCACCACTGTCTTTATGACAAAAGACAAGGAGACCTAGGTTCCAAAAGTTCTGAAAAAAAGTATTCTCTTTTCTGCTATAAAATACAATCATATCAAATGAAAAATACTCACAAATATAACCATTTTCACCTTTCTTACAAAGCAATTGTATTCTTAAAGAATGAATCTCTTTCCAGTATCCTTAGCACAATCCTTCCCATCTCTAATTTCCTCACATACAGATTCTGTGAATACTTCTGTATTTCTCTTTTTTTTAACACAAATCATTCTAGATGACATCTGAAGAATAAAATTCTTTCCATGGAACAACATTCGGCTGACAGATGACCATATGACACCCTTCAGACAGTACAGTATGTCACTATCAGAATGCGACTGCTGGGGAGTGTATATTCAAGGTAATATTTAATGTTCAAGTCAAAACATAATGGAATTTTACCAGCACTTAATATGAACACACATAAAGAGAGGAACAACATTCCTCATTCAAAAATAATTTGTGTTTGATTTGTAAAAATCTGAAAATGTGTTGTTTTATAAAAGAAAGCTAATCACATTTTAGCTATAAAATTAAAAAACAAATTTTAAGATAATTTTCTCAAGATGAAAAATAATAAAGATGAATTTATCCTCTGTTTCATGTTAATGGTGTACTAAAAATTTATTCAATAAAATTAAGATTGTGGCTTCAACCTCAAGCAACAGCCCCCGCTAAACTCACTCAAGCCCTTTAATATATGAGAGCTGCATTAGTGTCACTTTGTAAATGACTATACTGAAGGAAAGGATAAAACCTAAGTGTCTAGTTCTACCACTTAGGAGGTTGAACATAATATTTAATAGAGTTCTGTTTCTAATAACATAAATATTTTGAGGGTGATTAGGAAGACTAGTGAATTATCCTGATTGTGTTCTCACAGCAATTTATGTTTTCCCCATGGTAAAGCTGGTTTCAAACAGATCTTAAAAGAAATGACTTTGTCATTATTAAAAATACCTTAAAGGAAACATATATAATTTCCAAAACAAAGCAGTCGCGATGATGAAAACTTCCTGACATAATTGTTCCAAATGGCTAACACTTGTATAGTTCAAATGATTTAATAATGATCGTTTACTTGTTTTGAAGTACTATTGTTATTTACCTCCTTAGAAAGTCTTGCCAAGAGTGTGTGATATATCTCACAGAATGCCAAGATACCAATCTTTTTGGAATACTCACAGTGCCTTCTGTAGGAACAGTGCCTTTTATTGCCTCTGTAAAGCTTGAGAGTCTATAGCATACCTAGAGGTAGTGCACGCCACAAAGGTGAGAAGGGAACAACATGTTAATAGCGATAATGATGAAAATAGCAGTGAAGTTATCAAGTATGAAGCCCTTACTATTTGCTAGGCACAATCCACAGGGCTTTACGTGGATTATATTACTTAATTCACGTGTCACTCCTATGAAATAGGCACAATGGAAAGTCTCTTAACCACTGCCATGAAGCAGTATCGGGAACAGATTGCTAGGTTCATATTCAGGTTCTATCATTTCCTATCTCTGTAAATTTGAATAAGTTCCTTAGCTTTTCTAAGTTTTAGTTTCCCAATCTGGAAAGAAGAATATAATACATTTTGCTTTTGTTTTCTGAAACATGTCTCAGCTCCTTCTCCATTGCAATCTCACTAGAACGCCCAGCTCGAGCCTCAAGTTATAACTTAATATAACTTAATATAACCTTTCCCCACAACTATCACAACCACTACCTGGTTCTTCCTCTTGCCTTCAGAGTCTATTTCTGCCCCCCGCCCCCATTCACCTGCCACAGAAATCCCAATCATATTTCCAAATTAATTTTTTTTTCACGAGTGCCTATTTCCCTGGGGGTAAAGCCCAAATCCTAAGCACTGGCATTTGACCTCAACAAGACTGACATTCTCTCTATACTCACCTCCTGCCCATCATGCTGAAATCACTCTGGGAATATCTGCACCCCCTCTACTTCTTTGTGTTTCTTGAAGGCAGGGGATGTTTTACTTGTTAATAGCTCCATGCTGGCACAGAATAAGCACTCAAAAATACTTTTTGAATTAGAATGAATATCATGCCAATGCCAACTTTTCTACAGCTCCTTCACTGCATTCACACAGGGCCACTTCCTATACCCTTGCAAAGCCCTGTGCATTGATCATGCCATTCACTTCTCCTGGGGTGTGTCTATCCATCTTTACTTGGTAAAACCACATTCACCAGTGAAGGTCCTACTCAAGGTCACACCCCTATGGCACCTCCTCTCATTCTACAAGGTAGAATTCAAGCCTTCTCCTTAGAGGCTTCCTTCACTCTTTGACTCTACCATGACTAGTTTAGCTTCTAGTAGATATTATCACATTTATTTATTTCTATATCTGCTTCCTTAGCCTGACTGAAGAAATCTACAAGAACAAAGACTGTGACTATTTGTTGGTATTTGCAGCATCTAATTGTAGGGTCCAGGACTCAGTAAATAATTACATAAATCAATATTTGATGAATTAGTATTCAATTTAGGGCATAATAAACAAACCATTATTTCACTGAGAGGCCCTTGTGATATGAGACCTACCACCACTCCAATCTTTTATTCCGGGGACTGGAAGGCCTTACCCTGGCATTGCCCGTTTTCCACAGCTCTGTCCTTCTCCTGCCCTCTCTGTGGGACTTAAGGATAAGTGCAGGCAGCCCCCTACCTGTTAAATTTCTACATCTGGATGTGTGAGGTGAATAAGGACAGGAACCTGCTTTGATGGCCTCCCAAAGTGCATGTAATATCCTGGGAAAATCTTCCATCAAAGTAACAGAAGTAACGGGTATTTAGGCCAAAAAAATGGGTAACTGAATACTGTGGCTGAACAGCAGCATAAAGGTTCTCCCTGGCTAAGCTCCGGGCTTCTGAGTCTTGCCAGCATTGGGGGATGGAGTTGGAGGAGAGGAATTTTTCTTCACTAGGGCCCAGTGCCACCCCAACATCCAACCTCGAATACCCAAGCTGCCTCTGTGGAAGTGTGGCCAGCCATTCCCCTGAGGGGCTGACAACACTGAGGTAGCTTAAAATGATTATTACTCATCTGACATTGAACAGACTAAACTCAGGGTGCAAAAGGAATATAAATGTGTAAAAATTTGGGTGGTATCAAAGTCAAAATTATGAAGGCCCCTGTCCTAACTTGAGAGGTAGGTGACTTAAAGTCCTGGTCCCATGTGGGTTCCTTCATTTCAATGTAAATGCCTCAACATTAGGATCAAGGGGCTGACTAAATCAACTCTGACTTCCTCCCTTAGATCAAGAGGAATACCACAGCCTTGGCCACATCCCAAACTGACAGAAACCATTTAAGAATGACCTAGAAATGTCATTAATGCTAAGAGCCTATACTTTCGATGCTAGATCATCTAGTTGCAAAAGAGAAATTGGAATACATAGTTATGAACAGCATGAAGACGCCCACCTGATTCTCATTAACGTCAATCACTGTTAGGCATTACCTTGCAAAATCTGTGAACTTCCGTAACAATGTTTAAAGCTTTGTAAATGTTTTTATAATTTAATAGAAATCTATTATAATGATAAAATTCAAGAAATACAGCAACTTTTGGAAACTTCTGAGCCTCCAAAACTGTTGATAAATGGGTTCCCAATACTGAGAAAAATAAAAAAGAACAAACATCACGAATCTTTCTTTTCTCCTCTACCTAACTTGTTATCCATTAGGAACTGATGATTTCAATAAAGATAGAAGGCTACATTAAAAAAAAAAAAGATTGAAACTGAAAGTGGATACATAAATTGGACCCCAGTACATACATCTGCCCATTGGTCATTGCTGTTTCAGATACTTGCTGGAGATAATAACAAGAGATAAATCTACTCACTCTCTTTAAGAAGGATTCTGTGGAATGAAAGAGATGAAATGGTGAATTGTTTGTGCTGAATCATTCTCCTTGACATTGGGGCCATTTTGATGAGATAAAAAAGTACTTACTGAAAGGCAAATACTCATAGTTCATAGACTTGTGTCTCTGTCCCTTTTTTCATGTAAAAGGGTAGAAAACAGTTTATTGTCCCTATTAAATTTGTTAGCCAAATCTCCATGATAGAATAAATATATCAAGAGTATACTGCACTGATGTAAATCACCATCTAAAATTATTTGGTCCTAACTTTCCCTGAGCACTACTACATTGGTCAAAAAAAAAAAAAATTCTCAATTACAGATGTGTTCAAGTGCACACACACTTATCTGTACGTATACATTCCTCATCACTACAACTTCCTTCCTACAATCAACTTTCACAAATAAGTCAATGTGTATACTCAAAACCTTTCACTCATAGTACCCGGATTGGGCTTCTGAAAATTAGCTTTCATAAGGCCAGCGTCAGTGATTTTGACAGCTGTCTTAGCAGAAAGACCCAGACATCTAGCTGTGCCTCTGTCTCTTCATGCCATGGTAGCTGTGTCAATTTGGACGCTGACTAGTGACATAACCCGAGCAGATGCAGGACCCATATGTGCAACTCCAGAGAAGATTTCCAAAGCACTGGCATCTGGATGTCAGCTTTTCTTTCCTGGCCCTACAGCTGAATGTTCTGCTAGACCTGATTGTTTCTCTGCTGGGGATCAGTCTGGTGCCACCCTGATGTGCTCACTGGCACTGCCTAGACTTCAGTGTGTTTGAAAAGAGTGAGATACATAATTACCTTACATTGCAGCACTCCAGGAACTTACCTGTTTTGTCAGTTTTAGATACTGAAGTCTACCAAGGGAAACAAAAACTACTGGTGCTGTTTCTCTAATTCTTAATTATTAAAGTTTTGTTTGTTTTAACTCCATTGAATAGAAACATAGGGTGCAGGGTCTAAAACAGCTATGAGCAACCTTGCATTTATATACACTAAGTTTCCAACAGGGAAAATTAGCATGAAAAGAAAATGCATCGTGGCAGATAATTTGTGTCTGTTTTTCTGATTCTGTGGCAGTTTCTCCACAGCACGAGAACAGCTGTGTGAACAAAGGCACCTACCCCCCAAAAAGGCAAAGAAGGGTGGTCATCTACACATCACCTCTCTTCACTTGCTCCTTTTCAAATAAGCCATGGGATGAACTTTTCCTTCCAACTGGGAGCCGCAAAATGAAACAAGAAAAAGAGACACTTGGCAAATGTGAACCATCATAGATTAAAAATGCTAAAGCCTTGCTCAAGGGAAAAGGATAGCTTGGTAATAAATTCACAATGACGTGTCCTCCTGCTCACCTGCGCCAGCTTTCCTAAAGCGAAAACCTTCTACCTCCCAAGACCAACCTACCCTTACCAAGAGATGAGCAGCCTTCTCCATCTCAATCCCCAACGTGTGGCCCGGGCTTCCCTGGTAAAGAACTGGGAGAAAATGAAGTTTGTTTGACTGATACAAACTTCATCAACTAGATTCCTGGGTGGTAGATGTCACTGTGATACATAAACTGATATTTCTGAGAACATAAAATAGATAAAAGATTTAAATAAAAATAGTAAAATGGGATTTTAAAATTTGTTTGGTTTTTGAGACGGAGTTCTGCTCTTGTTGCCCAGGCTGGAGTGGGATAGAGCGATCTCGGCCCACTGCAACCTCCACCTCCCCGGGTTCAAGTGATTCTCCTGCCTCAGGCTCCCAAGTAGTTGGGATTACAGGCATGTGCCACCATGCCCAGCTAATTTTGTACTTTTAGTAGAGATGGGGTTTCACCATGTTGGCCAGGCTGATCTTGAACTCCTGACTTCAGGTGATCCACCCACCTCGGCTTCCCAAACTGCTAGGATTACAGGTGTGAGCCACTGCACCTGGCCTTCAATGGTATTTGTTTTTTTTTTTTAAAAAAACACAGAAACATTAAAAACACACACACACACAGAAACATTAAAATAATACTGTGTGAATACTTTAAAATGATTTAATCTTAAAATAAACTAAAATCTCAAAATCCGTCCATTTTATAGAAACTGAATTAAAATACAGAATTTAAATACAAAATCTCAGGGTTTTATTTCTTTTATATCCTAAGGTTGTTGCCTTCATTTTAAAATAAAACGGACCCTCCTTTATTAGCTATTAAATATTGCTTAAAATGAAGCTGATTGCTTCTTTTTAACTTCAGCAAGACATCATTTCTAATTGGTGTTTTAAACTTTTTAATTTATAAAACATGACAAATTTCAATCATTGCTACTTTAAACACATAAATGGAAAACAACAAAGCCAAACACAGCCATGTACTCCTTCAGGAATATCATGCGGATTTCAAAGTTTTTTATTTTTATATTTTTTATACTCTAGAGAACAGCTGGCATGTATATTATTATTTCTAATAGTGTCTCCTGGCAGAATAATTCATGCAAATATAGCGGCAGATTATAACATGCTCGAGATTTTAGAGGACTGAGGTTTTCCAGTTCTGGAAAACACAAAGATGAAAACTACTCCTGGGATTTTTTTCGGAAGACATTCACTAGAAATGTTAGAAGGCTGACCAGACTTCCGGAAGCTGGAAAATCTCTATTCTTTTGTTTAATATTCCTCCTAGGTGCATTCATGCAAAGCCTTTAAAAGGAATTGTCCTCTCTTTCAAAGGGGTTTGACTTGGGCACAGTTAATCATCACTGTGATAAAGCAATTAAAGGTATTCATAATTAGGACCAAACCAAATGTAAGTAATCAGAAAATTAAGGGGCAAATGACATTATAATGTGACTGTGTTTTCTTTAATGACCCCTTGGCTGAGAAGGACATTCTCGAATTGGTGCATGGGGACTTAGGTGCATAATGCATTAACCCTACTAGGAGCCCAGCATGTAAATGTCTTCTTCAAGTGATAAGAATGCACCCTGAAATCAGTTACTATCACTGACTTTTTAATAATGCTGCCCAAAACAAAAGGGACAATTAACCATCAATCAGTTGGAAGTTATATGCATTATCTGCACAAATTTAAGTCAATTCTACAAAGGCACTGAGCACCTACTAAGACCACCAAACTGTGGAAGACACGAAGATGAACAAGACATGACAGCCATCTTCAAGTTGCTTACAATCTAACAGGAAAACTAAGACATACATGAAACCATTTTGAAATTTTTTCACAAAAAAGCACACATGGGTGCATGCATGTATATCTAAAAGGTGATTTTTTTTTTTTTTTTTTTTTTTTTAAGACAGGGTCTTTTGCTCTGTCACACAGGCTGGAGTACAGTGGCACAAACACGGCTCACTACAGCCTCAACCTCCTCAGCTCCAGCAATTTTCCTGCCTCAGCCTCCAAAGTAGCTAGTACTACAGGCACACACTATCATACCTGGCTCATTTTATTTTTGTAGAGATGAGGTATTGCCAGGTTGCCCAGGCTGATTTGAAACTACTGGGCTGAAGCAATCTTCCCACCTGTCTCCCAAAGTTCTGAGATTACAGGTGTGATCCACCATGCCTAGCTGGAATTTTTAAAAATATAAGTGACAGGATAATGTGAAAATGATATTCTGTTTGCTAAATTTTACTTAATTGTAAATGCAATTATTGGAATTTTAGGTCCTGTCTCTACACCTGCACCTTTTATCCCAGGTAAGGATACAACATTTCATTAATACAGTTCTTGAGGGAAGGAACAATATCTACATATTCCCCAAAGCTGCATTTGATGAGCCTTATATATAACAAGCTATAAATGCTTGTTTACTGCCAATAAACAGGGTCTGTATTTTTCCCGCCCTAGCTAAACTGGTCTGCATTTCAGAGGAGGCTGGTTATATATACTTTCTAAAATGAATAATCTCATAAATGCCAAAATAATGTGTAGCAATCTCAGTGAAAAAAACTTGTCCCCCCAGCCCTACCTATCAATTACAATAATCCAGAAGGATCTCCAAAGATCATGGAAACCCAATCTAATAATTTAGGTATCGATTGAAATAATATAATCTCTTTTTGGATTAATGTTGTGAGTTAAAGGTCTCAAGGTTAACGGGAGGTGTCAGTAAGAAAATAAAACCTGGATTTTTTTTTTCAATGCAATGAATTGTAAGCAGTTATTTTTCAGCAGGAGAAAATGCAGCATGTAGAAGTGAGTACCCTCCCCGACCTCTGTTTTCATGTTAGGCATGACATTCTTTGGGGGGAAAATGACTTTGTGCTTTCTAAAGCTTCTTAAGTTTCTCTGAAAATCAGGCTAACTGCCCCCCTCCCAAACATAGCTGCATGAGATTCTATTAAATGCAGTTTTGTTGATGTGGCCCCAAATGATTTTCCCCTCTTTCAGTCTCTGCAGGCTGCCCCAAGTCTCCATGTCTGTTAATGACCTATTGCTTCTGTCTGATTCAATACAGCCCACCGGCTATGGAAATGGCAAGTCTCAGCAGGAGACAACAAAATGGTCAGCAAACAGGGCTGAGCCATGTCATTTTCCTCAAATACTTTCCCAGGAATGAAATGACAAGCTTTAAAATGTTGTCTTCTGCTCAGGGCAAATATTTCTTTATTAAACAAAAGCGCATGTCCTCTTGTTTCCATTGAAACCACAGCTTAAAGTATGTCACTTGAAAAACTTCCATTGTAAAATAATTTAATACCTAATATTTCCCTTATAATTCTTTTCTCTGTCACTCTCTCACTTCCACCTCAGGGTTCGAATCCCAGCTGTGCTAGCTAGTTACTAATAGCCATGGGACCTTAAGCAAATCCCTTTACTACTTTTTCCCCCACCAAAAACAACCTAACTATATGTAGTCTCCAGGTAAAGCCAGGTTAAATGATAGCAATTAGTTACCAATCAGTCATATAAATTCCCCAAACTGATTAGTAACCTTCCAATATTGAAAATAGTTTGATCCACAGCAATCCAATTCCTAGTTAAAAAATAATACAGCTTAGCTGTGAATCCAGTGAAACTAATCATTGAGCAGAGATAATAGGTACCAACTGAAAGTACCAGGCCTGGGTACTTTATATTTAGAAAGACGTAACAATATCTTCCGGAAGATTAAATGCTGTCTAAATGCTGGATTGGGCTTTTACATTCAGTCCACCTAAATGTGATCTCAAGAGAGGATACAGTTGATCTTACTATGCATTATTAAATAGTTACTGAGTTTTATCTCCTATGTGACTACAATTCTAAAAGTATAATTTAAAATGTCATTGAACTATCCTTATGGATTAAAGATGCAATTAAAATAGTCATTGATATTATCATTTGCCTTTGTATTTATGTAGAACTTGCAGACTTCCCACTTACAAAAAAAAAAAAAGAATTTTCTGTTTCTTTAGGTCAATTCTACCCTTGGTCTAATCTCTATACCAGATGAAATTTACTAAAACATTGTATCAACCTAAAATGAAGTAAAAGAGTAGATTACTTCAGAGGGCATTTTTGTGGTGGCCTAAAGGGTCACCTGCATTTTTTATATCTTTAGAATTGAGGGAAAGAGCTGCTCCGACCTGACAATTCCTGTAGCAGTTACCCAGCCTCATGGGAATTCAACGAGGCTCCTCTGTGAGGGCAGTCCAATCATTAGTTACACATTTTATTCATCCAGAACAACAAATTTTATAATAATTTCACTAATTCTCCCAAATGTTTATTTTTCCCAAATACACAATAAACATAAAGCAAAATGGCATGACATTTTCTTTTCTTAGACACGGTTCTACTGCACTGTCACAAAATAACACTGTCCCGTGGATTACTTACCTTGCAATCATAAATCATCAGATCCCAAACTGGCAAATGTCTGAGAAGTGATATTCACAAGGAATTAAAAAACAGCTATTAAAAAACAGCTGGAGACTAGGTGACTAGGGCATCTGACCCAGCTCCTGGGTCTGCCCACAGGTGCATGGCTACAGTTCAGAAATGACAGAAGATAGTAGCGAGTCCTATACCCTGCACCCCTCCTCCCCCAAGCAGGATCCCTACAGTGCCTTTCTTGTTGCTTGGTGCCCACAGGTCTTGGTTTTCTGTGTTCTTTAATGAATATAGTATTACCCAGGCCAGGCTCAGAAGAAGAAAACCATTCATAAACATGTATCAGCCATGAAGTACACTGGAAGTTACCTCTTAAAATCAGCTGTTCCTTCCACAACTGTTTTCAAGAGACAAGAGTCAGAATTTTATTTTGGTTGATCTACAAAAAGTCAGATACCTAATTTTTATTTTCTTCTCTTTGCTTATCTGTATTTTTTTTATTTTCAACATTTTCTTTTTCCCCCCCACTTTGTGCAGCTTAAAGAGGTATTTACACACACACACACACACACACACACACACACACGAGGGATAACTACTTAAGATTCTTCTGTAATAATCTTTGTCTTTAAAAAGCTAGTGAAGTAGAATACAGATGTGACATTATAATATAATTGTTGAATTATGTGTTCAATTTGGCTCTTATTGTATTTAGAGATCTTTTCTCAAAATAATTTTGATTTGATTCTTCTAAGCCACTTTCCTCACGTGTGTTCCACAGACTACTACTAGTCCAGGATGCTCATCTCATTGGTGTCTGCAATCAACTTAGTTTGAGAAACGATGCACATTATCACCCACCCACCCATTCACAATCTTTCCTCAAGCCTAAAATGAGTCTAAAAGGCTTGCAAAGTTCTAGAGACTGAGATGGGAGAGGAACACTGGCCATACTGACTGAGTTTTGGGTCCAAGATAAATGATAGTCAGCTGGTGTCACCCTATTCCACGTCATTCCTAGCTGATGCCGGTAACAAAAATGTGATGTCTGCTACCACCAAGGGCTACTCTAAAGCCAAGAAGAACACAGTAATCTGGCAAAGATTTGCAGATATTTACACACATTACCAGAGAGGTATAAAAACCTACACAATAAGAAAGTTTTTACTATTACTATTTGACATGTAACCTTATGATTGTCTGTCAACTTTGAAAATTGATACAGGTTGAATATCCCTTATCCATAAAGCTTGGTAAAATAGCAACTCAGGAAAAAAGCTTGGAACCAGAAGTGTTTTGAAGTTTTACCAAAAAACTTGGTAAAATAGCAACTTGAAGAAAAAAAAAAAGCTTGGGACCAGAAGTGAGAGGAGTATTTGCATATACATAATTATATATTTTGGAGATGAGACCCAAGTCTAAACATAAAATTCATTTATATTTCACATATACCTTATACTTACAACCTGAGGATAATCTTACACAGTTTTTAATAATTGTGTGCACAAAAAGTTTTGACTTTATTTTGACTGTGTCCCATTACATGAGGTCACGTGTGGAATTTTCCACTCGCGGTCATGTCAGTGCTCAAAAAGTTTCATCTTTGAAGCATTTCGGATTTTGGATTTTCAGATTAGAGGTGCTCAACATGTAGTATAACTGTCTTTCTGTTCCACATTAATCTCCAAATAATTTGGCCATTCTTAGCGCCTGAGAAAGAATCACAGATATGTTCCCATACCTTGCAAACAATCTTTATGTCAGCATGCCCCAAACAAATTCTGCCTGATCATAATGAAATCACTGGGTTTTTCTCCTCCCCCATTTCTGACTATGCTAAGAGAAGGCGTGAGTCATTGAGAAGTGAAGACCCTCAGGGGACTTCCACATAAACACCAAATTTATTTTTTATTTTATTTATTTTTTTTGAGGTGGAGTCTTGCTCTGTCTCCCGGACTGGAGTGCACTGGCACGCTCCTGGCTCACTGCAGTCTCTACCTCCGGGGTTCAAGCGATTCTCCTACCTCAGCCTCCCGAGTGGCTGGGATTACAAGCACGTGCCACCATACCCAGCTAATTTTTGTATTTTTAGCAGAGATAGGGTTTCGCCATGTTGGTCAGGCTGGTCTTGAACTCCTGACCTCAGGGAACACCAAACTTAAAAAGGGAATATGTGTGTGGGTGTGATGAGTGAAGGAGGTGAACTGTGTGTGTGTGATCACAGGAAGTGACTTGCTCCAGGCTGGGTGATCTGATTCCCTCCTGTTGCTTCTAGGGTTCAGCCTCTGTGACAGCCAACTTTTCTTGAGTGCTCACTGAGCTGTCTGTGTTGTATCTCAGCTAATACTGTGTACAGTGTCTCATCTAAACTAGGCACCTTTGTGTAGTATCTCATCTAATTCTAACACTGTTTGAGGTAAGACTTGCTACTATCTCCATTTGGGGTTGAGAAAACTGAGGCTCAGACAGTTCAAATAAATTGCCAAGTCCATATAACCAAGTGCAGATATTCAAATCCAGGAATAAGTGATCCAAAAGCCACTAGCCTATGTTACATTGAACTATGTTGGTCTGTTTTCTTATTGCTCTTCTCTACTCATAGTGGGAATGCTGAGAGGCAAAATCATCACTCATTATCCATATCTCAGTATTTTCTGCAGTCCCTGATGCAAATTAGGCATGGAGTAAATATTTACTGAACTGAAGCTTAGTACTTTCAGATTACTGTTTCACTTTTCTAGAACCTGGCCACTTGAGGTAATTCATTTTGCAACTAGAAAGTCCCCATTTACTATTGCACTAGTTTCAGTCAAGTGGCCAAATACCATGGCTTTCCTCCAAAATGTTACCTCAAACTGCTTCCTTCCCCTCACTCACACTTCTCTCACTCTTTCTCAGTGAATGATGACATATGTTTATTCTGCAAATCAAAGTTAGCAAGGTAAACAAAAATCCCCGTGGATACGTATCTGCCATATAGAGACATCATTATGAACATCCTTCTGAGAAGTTCTCCCTTCTGACCCTGACATGGAAGGGTGAACTTTTTGGCCTGGCAGATGATGGATTTCGTGCAATGTGCACAAGGAGAAGCATATGTGCATTAAACCGTTTCACCAGCATAATTTATAGCAATGGTCGATGGCTGGTTCTACCTTCTAGCTCTTCTGGATTTCTGATTGGGTGTTTATCCTCATTTTTTTTCTGAGCAAGTTGAGGAGGTCACGTAATAAGATAAGGAGAGTAATGGCATGTCACACTTTAGTCCAAAGGAGACTTTGATTCTGGAGTCCCTTTATAAACTCTCTCTTTTTCAGTTTCTTCTAAGTTGCCAATGAGAGTATTATGACAACTTCTTTGGTTTTTAAGAGAAGAATTTTCATTCTCAAGGTAAAAATACATTGTTATCACCAAATATAAAATTTTTTACTCTGAACTAAACCTGAACTGTCAAATGGATACATCAATGTAAGCAATTTATGTCATGTTCAATAAAGAATATTTATCTTGTTTTGAACCTGAGAGAATTTTATTGATAATGTTCTTATATTCCTGAAGTAATAAAGTTTCTGATAAGCATCAGGATTTTTCTTAAAAACTCGCACATTATTCTGGACTACCTAACACATGAACAGAAATACTAGCAGATGTTTCTCAAATGTGTTCTACATGTCAAGTTCTGTATCAAGCACTTTCAACTAAACTATTTTGTTCAGTCCTCACAATCTGCCAGCCAGGAAAA
The DNA here is from genome assembly GCF_000001405.40 of Homo sapiens. Classification (NCBI taxonomy): domain Eukaryota; kingdom Metazoa; phylum Chordata; class Mammalia; order Primates; family Hominidae; genus Homo; species Homo sapiens. Next base: position 33,376,821 of record NC_000014.9, on the reverse strand, counting down.
CTTTCACTACTATTTTCTCCATTTTAAAGATGAAAAAACTAAGGCTTAGAGAGGGCAAGAGACCATTGTAGGTGCACACAGTTAATAAATGAACAACTGGGGATATAAACTCATGTTGGCTGGATGCCCAAATCCACGCACATAATGAATCTGTCATATACTCTCCCATGTCTGGAGATGTGGATACAAACTAAGCTTCTAACACGGAGCTGAGACAAGGCCCTGGCTCTGAGGTTAACTGTGACCTTGCCAGGTAAGATTTCTTTGTTCATTTTTTTATTTACCAGGTATTTCCTGACAACCTATTGAACGAAGGACTCAAATTTTACACTCTGAATATACTGGCATTAGTACTTGTTCTGGCTCACCTCTGGGAAAAAAAAGCATATACTGAATTTAGTAGAATTTGAGCTTTTCAGAGAAAAGTTTGATGAGCTATTTTTTCAGATTGTGACAAAGTAATAGCCCTAATGTGCCCATCAGTTTTTATATATAATGAGTTAAAGCAGCATTAATTGTTTAAATAAAAGATGTTAAACTTTTTTTTACAACTATATAATATTTCCTCAAAATCATGAATATGATTTTTATATGGCCTAATAAGTTAATTTTGAATAAGAAATTATACTTTTCCCCTTAGGATTAACATCCAAAGGCAGTACAATATAGGGAAATAACGGTTTACAATCAACCTCTGTTTGATCCTGTGTGTCTGTTTTGAGAATGGAGATTTTGGTAAAACATGCATTCTTGAGATAATTTGAAGACCAGTGAGATAATTCTTGGCAAACCACAATAAGATTCTCCAGTGAAACCAATTCCGTAAGTATGAAACATTAATCTCAACAGAAAATAAATGCCAGGGTCAGAGTGATGCTTACGTCATTAAAGCCCAGCAACTTAGGTGAAATGCACATTGCCAGTAGACCCAATTGACTACTCTGATGTTAGTTTGCTAAATTACATAATGGACATGTCACATCTCTTTTATAAACCCTATTCCCAAACTTACGATTCATTCATATACATATTTTAGTTTAAACCTAGGCAATCTACTAATAGAAATTGTGAGTTAATGTTCAACTTTAAAAACATTTTCCTAAATGCCAATGCTGATATCTTATTTGAGGTGAGGACATAGGAGAGGTGAACAACAGACTTAAAATTTCTACTTTTCTTTTTCATTCTTTCTTTTTAAATAAAAATACTGCAATCCCTACTTTTGATTGTTTTATAGCTCAATTGATAAGGTGTGTTCCTCTTTTTTGTTCAAGAAAATTTAAAAGCAACTAATTTAAATATGCAAAATTATCTTGAGTTGTTCATACGTGAACTTAAAAGCCGTGCAACACAGGAAAATTAAGTAATTATGCCTCCAAGTTATTTACTGCAATTAAGCTCATTTATCATATGCAAATTAGTGCAAACTGGTCTCATTAGTTACTAAATTACTCAATATGAGCTGAACAATGTAGCACTCCAGTTTGTAATGAAAAATCCCTGTAGAGGCAAGCAGTATCAATTAAGCTAATTTGCATATGCAAATATATTCACTAACTTTCTCTCTTTCTATATTTAGTTTTACATTTTCTTACCATTCTGGATCATAGAGACACTACAGGGTCACTCAACTTTCTCCCCTTCCTCTCTCACAGCTAAAGGAATTAATTCAAAATGCTCCTATTATTTGAAATCACCTTATTTTACGTTAGCACTGATGTCCAGCAGGATACCACTTTAGCAAAAAGAGCCATCAGGAATAAGAAGATGCAACTTCCTAGAGATGATCATTTTATGTATATCTACACATTTCAATAAAATAAAGGTGAAATTTTAACTCAACAATAAAGTAGAAAATAGACTTGAAGATATCACTGTTTCACAGAGGTCTTTTGAAAACACTACCATCAAATGTAAAAGGCATGTTGACTTGGCTAGGCAGCATCTTAATAAATGATAATTTGTATCTTTGTGTTAGCTTTTGAGCTGTTTTAGGTATTTTCACTTTACTTTGCCCAGATGTTGGAATTGTACTAGTCAATCTTTCATTTTCTTCTGGCATATGAGATTAAAGAAGGTGTCTATCAGCAGATTTGGCATTCTCTACTCCCCCCCCCGCCCCGACACACCCCAACATTGTTATAAAGAGCTCCTTTTGCCTATAAATCCAGCATATTTTCCCCAGCAGAATCTTCTACTCGGTCTTCTACAATTGGCTGGGTCTCAGAGACCAGAGATGCTGTAGCTAGCAATACTGAAACAGTAACAAATACATAAATAAGATACTATTTGTTTTGTTTTCTTTATTACATCAACCTGATTTTTTTTTAAAAAAAACTTCTGGTAGATAGAGAACCTATATGTTCTCATTTGTCTAAAAACAACTCTGCAGGACCAAAAGACTATATGGACCAACTAATCATGATTCTAGGATATGCCCTTTACCAATCTTCAAAGTGTGATTAACAGAAGAAACGTAGAAATTTAAAAGCAAATCTTGACCTGACTTTCTTCTAAATCTGATCCTTAACAGCCTCTGTAAAACACAGGTTCTTCTTTTATTTGAGGCATAATTCTACCCTGTATTCCATGGTTAAAGGTGTTGAGGAAATGAAAAACCACATGAACAAAATCTGACAGCTCACTGAGGTTGACAACATTATCCATCTTAGCCACACAAATCTTTGATTACTTTGACTAACAAACAGAAAATCACTACATTTGGGCTCCCTTCTTCTCTATCATTTTTAGAAAATACATACCTTAACAAAACTGTTCTGCTAAGGTTATTAGCACAGGACACATTTGTGTCCTGAACAAGAGGGTTATTTTACTAATAAATGATCCTTGCAAAAACAATCATTCCCCCACTTATGTTGAGGAAGACCAGGCAATCATACAACCATCGTACCTAGCCTTTTCTGATCCACTCCCAGTCAGAGAACCTCAGGGGTCATAATCTTAGAATGTTCTTGGAGGCTCTTACTCAGTCCCCTCAGAGAGTATGCTCATGGAATTCTCTTTCAGGTTTGGGTTTGAATGTTCTAAAAGCAATATAAAAATTCATTTGTGGCCAGAAATAATGTGGGGTCAATGACATAGATACAAGAGGGTTTACCTAATATGGCCAAGCAAAAATTGACACATGGATACAATATTTCCACCATTACTTTAATTTACAGCATTTCTTACAGAACATTCTTTTTATTCTCTCAATACTTAGTTTAAATAATAAATGAATTTCTCTATTAGTTATGTACAAACATGTTGGTACTTATTATACTTATCCAACTCACAAAACTTACTTTTATGATCCAAAATGAGTGATGAATAAAGACTATCTTTCAATTATAAGTACATGATAGTTCTTAGTAATGGCATGTATTTTACAAAGTTAGTAACACACACACACACACACACACACACACACACACATATAGTTCAATATAATATGCTGACAATGAATACAAACATAAACCTTAACAATTTCCATGTACTAGGTTTAACTTGTTTAACACCTGTGAGGTGAGTAAAGCAGCATTATTACTATGGAGTTTGCAAAAACAATATTGCAACTTTATATAACAATTATGTAAGCATTATTTAGAAAATGAAAGAAACTTAAACCTTTCTGCTGAGGGTAAACAAATAATTAAAGCATTAAAACATTCCATTCAGAAATCTGGCACCTAAGGGAAAGTCATTCCAGTAGTTAATTTTATGACTTATGAAGACAGTATTTGCTACCATTTTGTGTTTTGTTAACTTCAATAAGGTAAAATACAAATATCCTATCTGGTCCTTATATTGGAAAAGTAACAATAAATAACATGCGTACTTTTTCATATTAAAGAAGTCATGAAGTGGGAACAATATAATGCCCTAAGAGAACGTTGAAAGCAGCAACCACATTTGTGCTTAATCACATCTACTTTCCAGGAAGGATCCCACATAATGATCTCCTCAAGTTCTCGGATTTTTACTGAGCCTGCCACAAAATGCACAAATCCCAACCTTTACCCCTTGACTTCCCATTCTTCATCTAATTTATAAAAATCAGAGAAGAATTTAGTGAACTATAATGCCTTGATTCAGGCCCACTAGGGCTGGGATTCACAGCCCTGCCATTGCAAGACTGACATCCCTTGAACCCTCAACTCTCCTGGAGAAGATGCTGCTGTCCTGCGATTCATGCCTGAAATAGTTATAGGTTTACTGAGACTATAATATTGGTCACAGTCAGTGGTGAGACTGCTTTGTGAATGGCGGCCCCAGAGTTCGCAATACACAGCCTGGGCCTTGGCCCTGCCTACAAACACGGGTATTGAAAATTGGCTTTGTAATACATGATTTTACATTGATAAAATCACCATTAAGTTTATTATTTTCTCCCTCTCAGTGGAAAAGTAATCAAATTTTAAGGGATCCCACCAAACTTTCTTTTCCCTACGAGAATATACGGCTAATTAGATATGCACAGCAGAGACACATTACATATACATTCAGAGAACGGGCACACCAAAAATTAAGGAGTCTATCTTACCCCTTACTCTCAAATCCTCCACACAAAGGGACACGTAGTATGCACTTCAGTGAAACGTCACTGGGGCACAGGTAGCAGGGAAGCTTTGGTACCTGATGCAGTGAAGTCACAGGCATTTTCTGAACTCCACACTGGTATTTGGAACTGACCTCTACTTTAGTTTCCAAATTCAATTAGTTACTGAAGCCTGTTTACTCCAACTGTAAGTGTTTTAATTCTTTCCTCTTATTACCATTGTCTTTTAAAATTGCCCTTATCATTTTTTTGCAGTGCTATGACCCTAGTGTTACCATCCTGGGTTCAAATTCAACTTTGTTACCTAAACAGACATGTGAACTTGAGTTACTTAAGTTTTTAAAATCTTAGTTGACTCAATTTTAAGATGCACGTAATCATAGCACCTATCTCATAGGTCTATATTGTGGGTACTCGATGATGATATAAGAAGAGAACTTAGCACAGTATCTGAAACTTAGTACACAGTAAAAATTCATCATATTTAAGCTGAAATCCATCCAGACTAGGCTTTTCTTTTTAGAAAATATGCTTTTCAATATTTTATCTTCTCTTTGCGTTTACACACACACATAGACACGTTGATATATGCATTAGATATGAACATTTTTAGATGTAATCAAAATACTCAATAGCAGGAAAATGGTTACATAAATTATGATACATCCATAGTATAGAATGGCATTTAGCCATTAATAATAATGAAAACCAATCCTTTCTCAGCACAGACATGACCATGAGATACTGATTTTTAAAGGAGATTGCTGAAGAGCATATAATTGGCCAAGAGTTAGGTTTTCATCTCTTTTCCAATATGCACAAAATGCTTGATCCCATAAATCTCAGACATATAAACATACTCTCACTACATGAAAAACACAAATTTCTCTTGATGATAACTTCTCATTTCCCACCCTTTCTTTACCATGAACACTCAGATTCTTCTCCTTTACCTCCTATCACTCTTTAGGTCTGTATTCTACACTTACTCCGCACAGCGACTGTTTCAATCCACAAAACCTATGACATCTCTTCAGGATTTGCCCTACTAAAGGATTTATCCTTAGCTACCTTGACATTATTACTATTCCTTCCTCCACCAAAATCAAATCCTGTGGCTTGCTTTTTCTTTCTGTCCATTCCTTTCTCATGTTTACTGGCCTCTTAAATGATGACATACCCCACAGTGGGCTCTCCTTAACCCTCTCTTTGCTCCACATCATTTCCATAGGGCTGTAACCCATTCTTAATTTGAACTATCATTCATCTATACACCAGTGATCAGTAATTCCAGACCTAGCCTGAGAATTGCTCTGCAGAAACAGGACTTAGGTTTCCAAGTGCCTACCTCATATCAACTTGGCTATTTAATAGACCATCCCTCTCGACTTCTCTCAGGTAGTAGAATCAGACAGCTAGCAGCCAAACTAGAAAACTTGTGGTGATGATTAAATCCTGTCATTCTCTAGCCTTTCACCTCTAATTATGGGCCACATGCTAATGATTCTATCTCAATTCCATAGCTGCCTCTTCATTCACACACCTCTATCTTGCAAAAGATCTTCATTTTCTTGAACTCTGGTAACAATTTCCTAAATGGTCTCTTTATATCAGTATCTTACAACTCACAGACTTCCTGGACGTTGTATTTTGATGATAACTCCAGAAATAAACCAAACTGTTCTCTTGTCACTGCTGCATAAAAGCCCTCTCCATGGACTCTTCATGGAGAATCAAGTCCACACCTCCTGGTAATATGGCTCCTATAATCTCTCTTCCTTCATCTCTTATATGTCCCACTGCATATGTGAAGCAGCCATCATATCAAACATCTAAACAGTCCCCAAGTAAGATTTACCACTACTTGTTTACATGCTTTTGTGTCTGATGTACCCTTTGGTTGGAATATTCTTCCCTTTTCTTTGCCTAATAAACTTCTATTCATCCATCAACAACTTTGAAAAGTCTTCTTTGGTGCTTTATGGCAAATTCAGAGCCTTGTTCTTTTGTGGCCCCATAGTACTTGACCTGTGTGATATTTCTCACTTCATGCAACCTCCTAGTTCCTCTTTCCCTGAATGACTGTAAGCTATTTAAAGATAGCAGTCATATACAGTGGCTTCTGTGTTCTTATAAAGTATTTGAAACTTGTGGGGGATGAAGGGGAGTGTTAAATGACTATAAACTGTCAGGTTGGAGATCATGCCTATACTACTTTGCTGACCACACAGGTTTTTATCAACTATTTGCAAATGAAGAAAGAGTAGGAAGGAGGAAAGGGAAGACAGAATTCATTCCAGTCTTTATGGACCAACCAGATTCTCCCATGGACCCTTCTGAAACAAAACGTAGAAGCCATCTCATCCTTACTGAACATTGCGATATTGTTGAACATGGTACAGACATAGGCTTATGGGCTCAAAAGTTTCCCTGCTAGTTAGGCAAAACAACTAATAAGATAGCTTAAGGGAGGCTCTTCTTGTTACTACTACTTCCCAATTCCTTCTTGCCTGTAATTCTAGTAGTTAATTTAGAATACTATGTAGTAGTTCTTCCACTCCATAACCATTAGTGCTAAAATCAAATTATACCAAAAGTTCTAGTTTCTGTGGCAATTATAAGATTACATAGTGCAATCATGCTTAGATGCCTTTCTTGAAAGCATCTTTACCAAGCCATCTATATTTCTCCTGAAAGTCTACAGCTTCAAACTTATTCCAAGTGTGACCAGCCCTATTTAGGAGTTTTCTTGTATGGACATAATGTAAACATTCTAAATTTTCATCCATTTATCTTTTTTCTCATATTCTGAAGCGACACAGAATATGTTTAATCCTTTTTTTTTTTTTTTTTTTTTTTGGAAATGAGGCCTTCAAATAAATAGAGAGGGCATTGATGCCCCTTTTAAGTCATGTTTTCCAAACTAAACTTTCTCAGGCCTTTTGCCACTCTTCACGTAATATGATTTCTAGTTTACTCACCAGTCTGGTTATTCTACTCCAAATGGCATCCAGCTGTCTAGGTCGGTGTGACAGCTGATGCAACCATAGTGTGGTGTCTGAATGTGACCCATCCAAAATGGGAACGAGCTTGCAGCCCCATTCTAGATCCTGTGTTCTCTCAATGAAGTATAATGTTGATTTAGCATTTGGGAGAGCCATTTTACATTATATATTTATACTGAATTTATGTTTGATTCAAACTCCTAAGTTTGTGTTAGTTTTAAATTACTGCAATTACTGAGACACCTTACTCATAGGCCTTTGGAGTCATGATTTCCAGAAAGAATTAAGAAGATAATAATCTAGGACTAGTCTCTGAATAATTTTTCATTGACTAAGTCTTAGGTAACAATTTCTGAGTGCTTCAGAATAGAAACAGAAATAGTCCTCAGTCACATCAGAGTCTAACAATTTATATGTCACGGTCCATACAAAACCTATAATGAAGATTCCAAACAACATGTGTGTAAGAGAAAAGGAAGTAACAATTTGAAGATCTAGAAAGAAATATGATCCTTTCTGTGTCCTCGAAACTAATCCTAGGTTGTAACAAAGGTAATTCAAAATTTTATGTATACAATAGAATAGCAACTCCCAAGGTGTATTTCAAGAAACATCAGTTCTATGAGATATTAACAGATATTAATGGATAAACAAGAAATAAGAATAAACAAAAATGTAAAGTAAGACTTCTCAGGGCTTTAAACTTGCAAATGTGAAAGGTGCTATCTCAGACCTGATGGAACATCCAAATTATCTCAGGAGACTGTTAAAAACCACAAATTCCTGGACTTTACCCTATAAACTCTGATTTAGTAGGTCTAGGTTGAGGCCCAAGAATGCATCCTATGAGCAAGTGTTGGGTGATTCTGAAACTGCCAGTAAAGACACTGCTTTGGAGAACCACCAGGATTTGACTATGAGCTATTTTTTCTTCTTTTTTTTTTTTTTAACGCAGAATCACATAATAGTTTCCTAATGCACATACTTAAAAGATAATATGCTAAATGTAGTATTACTTTTGACAACCTAGAAAAGGAAAGCACCATAAAGGCCCTGTTTATAAACTCTGAATGAACAGGGATCTGGAGTATACTTTTATTTTACTCCAAAGTTTATCTCAGAAAAACATAGCTACCTTTTCCAAATACAGTAAGCGGCCTACATATCCCAAACTTGTCTGCTTCTCCAATTCTATGTAAAAAGGTGTATCTTCCACAGATTAAAAAAAGTGGCCATGGCAACATTTATCCTGGGAGCAGGACCAGTGTGGCACAATTATCTATGGTTGAAGGCAGAAGTGTTGAATCGATGGCAAAGTCTTAGTAAAAAAAAGTTTTGAATAAGTGAGATGACGAGTTTGCAATGAATTTTCTCTCGGGCTAGGTAACTACAGTTTCATCCTAGTGACCTTTAACATTTATTTTTCATGAAGTTCACTGGCAAAATCAATTATTATTTGTCTCCTTTTACTAGTATTTTTAAATATACTATATTTTCCCGTGAGAAATTTTCTAATTTGGGGAGGCAAACATTAAGATTGGAAGCACTCACAAATACGAACTCAAGCAAAGAACTGAAATTTGGCGACACAAAAAAAAAAAAATCACAGTACTTTCACAACAAAACTTTGCTCTTCCAAAAACAATATATAGCTCCAAAGACACACACAGATCCACTTACAAATACAGCACGCACACAACCATTCTGGGAACAGCCAGTTACTACACATGGCGCATGAACTAAATAGTGCAATTCATCTAAATTATTTCAGCACAAATAATACTTGCCCTCCCTTTCTCATTAACATTCTCTCAAAGGATGGCTTTCTAAAAAGAAAAAAATAAACTCATAAGAATTTCGGAATTTCAAGATAAAATCACAACAGTCAAATATACAGCTGACATTTAAAAAAAATTCTTTAAAAAAAAGACTAAACATATGGTTTTTTCTTAGTAAAATATAAGAAAGCTTCTTTTTGTTTTAAAGGTACCTGCAAAATGTGGCTTCCCAAATGTGCTTCAAATACTTCAATGGCTAGTGCACTGGGGCTTCTCCTTCGCTGTGCACCTATAACTTAAAAGAAAAAGAAAGAAAGAAAACAGAACAATTAAGTTGGAGCTCTGATTCATATCTTCAGCTTAGTTTCTCTTGAATGGCATCATTGACTATTTAGTATTACAATGAGATCTGAACCACCACCCAGTATTAATTTTAGTTCTGAGTTGTCTAAGCATAAACATAGCCTAGGTTGAATTTTCAACCTAAAATATCGACTTCTAGAAACATCAAAAAAATACATTCAGACTTTAAAAATTTTCCTTTTGGATGGCTTTCCCTACACTGGAATAAAAACATATGAATGTTCAGGTTCCTTTAAAATAAATTAGTACACCATTTTTCTTAAAATTAAGGTATTGATTTTTTTAAGCATCTGCATACTGCCTTATCTCCCCTCAACCCCGCCCCAGAGAAAACTAAACTTCTTACATCTTCTAGGCTAGGAAAAAAGCAAACAGGAAACTTTTTGTATTTTCTAATGCAATAACTTCATCACAATTTAATCAGCACAACATATTGGATAAGACATTCTTTTTCATGATCATTTGCACTAGTGTTAAGCATCCTAAGATGGCTGGATTTCACATTTACTGCATATTCATGTGAAACTATTCCTATAGGACTGACAAGAAGCCCAGGTAGATCCTTGGCCAGCATGTGCCTCACCAGGTCAGTGACTGTTTCTTATCTGGAGTTCCCGAACACTCCTGTTTTCTCACTAAGAGTCGGTCCTCTTCCAGGCACGCTTCACCTGCTTTGCCTGCAGGTGCCTACCACACAAGGAGTCCTCATAATCCTTAACAAAAGTGGGTTTAATGCAATAATAACTGTGGAATCCAGAATTGAGTGTCATCTGTTTATGATTTTTTTTTTTTACGTGGGGTTCCAATTTATGTTAAACCTGTTCTTCTGCCTATTTTTTCTTTTTTTAAAAAAATTTAATGGAGTATAATTGAGCAATGAACTATTCACAGATCAAGAAGCCCCCAGAATCACAGCAGATTCAGAGAGACTCCAGGGATGCGTCGTGGTCAGAACAAATTTATAGACAAAAGAGGGAAGTGACGTACAGAAATCAAAAGTGAGGACATCATAAAAAATCCATTTGCTTTACACTGATTTATTAAAGAAAATATTCAGATGCTTTCTATATTTCTAACAAGTAAATTCCCCATATCTTCCTGCTTTTTTTGAAAATTTTATTACAAACCTCTGCTCTCTCAAGCCCAGCTACTACTAATTGAAAATAAAATCAAAATCCCCTACTTTCTTACTTCTAGAAACACTTTCAGCTAGTTGACAAGAAAATTCCAGTGAAATGCTGCTGGGGTAATTCTGTTGCATTTCAGTTACTAAGTTGGTGAGTGGGCTCCACAGCTTAGTAGGGATTATAATATAAATGCACTTGTGATTATTGCGCTATGCAAAGTAGGGAGTTTACCCCTGCAAATGTGAGTTTGTATCTGCAATGTCTGCAAGGCACTGTGAAAATGCGTGTGTGTTAAGTATCATTATTACTGACAAGAGAAAAATAACAGAGGCATTTTTTTCAATGGGAAAATTTATAAAATATAATTGAAGAGTGATCATTATCAAAAGAATATTCCAGCTGGAAGGGATCTTAGAGATCTCTACTCCAGCCTCCTCATTTGCTTCAGAAGCAAAACACACAACTAAAAATCTTAAAACAGAAAAATCAGTTTACTATGCTGAGATTAATCTTTATTATAAATATAGACATAGGGTTTTTACAATTTTAATATTCAGATATACTTAAGACAGTACTACTGTGTGTATGTGGGTGTGCACATTTCTGATTAATTTCCTATTCTAACATGCACATTACTCCCTTCAAAACTCCTTTGGCATTTTTGATAATGCAGCTGTCTTGCTGAATACTGTTTTCAGTTTCTAGAGTGTTAATTGCACATTATGGTAGCTTGGTGTGAATGATCCCACATGAATAAAATCTGCAGCCTTTTTTTTTTTTTTTTTTTTTGAGATTATGGGGGTGGGTGGCTTTTGGGAGGGAGAAGCGGGGGAGTTGAAAAACTTCTCAAGTGTCCACTCTGTTTTTGAGACAGTAATTAGGATTCAGAAAGCTCCTTATTAATAGCTCATAATTTGGGGGGGCACTTCAGGGACTCCAATTACAAAGTTCAAAATAAATCACTGCACGTCCCCTCCCCCCTCCCCCAAAAAAAGAAAAAAGGACTAATTTTAGATAACAGAAATCATTCTACAAAGAACTGGATTATGAGGGGGCAAGGGAGTAATAGCCACCAGGTTATAAGGAACCCTAAAACATCACAGAAAAGTTCACTGACTTAGGAGGCCCAAGATGCAAGCTCCAGTAACAACATAAAGCTGCTCAAATGCCTTCTGAAAGCATAGACGCTGTTGTCTTCAGTGGGGGTGTGGGGGGTGGGGCGGTTATTCAAGTCTGGCTACTGATGGCCTTTCTTTTCCCGCTGTTTCTCCACTAGGGTTCAGGCTGTGCTCTGAGGAAATGTCTTCATCCATGAGTTCTATCTGTATAGTTATTCTTTGTTCTCCAAACCCCCTAGAAATCTGAGTGTGTACCCCCATACACCCTAGCATAATATACAAGTATCTTGCAAGTAGTTTCATGCTATTCTATTCGATGGCATTTTTATGTCACTGGAACTTCTCTTGATTTATATGTTTTGCACTTATGCAGGTGATGTGGGCTGCAAAGACAGTTCCTAATTTTACAACCAACATAAATATGTTAAACAGGAGCCCATTATGTCCCTGGTAGGAGCCCAGCTTTAACTTGAGCATTAATGCTAACTGAATAGATGTTAAAAATGTACTTCTTATCTTGCACTTATCCTATCACATTTGGCATTTTGAGAACTGAGACAATAATCTGATAACTAAAGAATACTGCAAACACAGGTATTTTGTTTCTCCGTGTTAATCTTATTATGTTTATAGAGTATCATTAATGATCTAAAACAACTAAAGGGGCATTTCCTCAATGGGATCTGTCATCTTCAGCAAAGCAATACATTGTTTATGAAGCTCTCTCAGATTTCTGTATTTTGGAAATTGACAGTTTCTAAAACCATCTGGTAGCCCAGACACACTGTATACTTACTATTGCCGAACGGGTCACAGTTTCATCTGATCTACTGACATATTTCATTTATTTGTTTGTTCAACTAAAAGACTATTTTCTGAAATTTAAAGAACACTAACAAAATTAACCTATACACACACACACAACACACACACACACACACACACACACAGAGGGCATTGCTAAATAAATGGAATGTGCAACCACTTGTCTGTGAAGATTCTGTTACCAGCTCACTGAGAGTGAGACGTAAGAGCTATAGGAGTTGAACAGTTTATACAAACTAGTATAAAAAAGAAAGCCCAAGCCACAGGAATTCAACTTAAAATTCAATTCAACATGACTAAATGCCTATTTGATGTTGAAAATTTCTAGCTACTATAAGGGAATTAGTGTTGCAAAACTTAATAAATAGTCCAAAAAATGTTTTATGACATTTAAAACAAAAGTAGGTCCAGTATATAATTATCAACACACACCACAACTCTACTATTTCATGTTTTACAAGGGTTAAAAATAAAACACCTAGAGTTTTAAGAGACTTTAAATGGAAGAGAAATACAGGGAGAAGGGTTTATTGGTTTTTTAAAAAATCATCTAGGAAAATTCTGATTGTCTCAGAAATCCAAAATGATCCGATGAATCACTAAGACTGTGCATTTGGCCTTTCTCTCATTAAAAAGGGGAAGATACACAGGGGAACCACAGTCTAAAACATGTATCTGAAGAATTAGTTTTGCCCCTCCACAATGTCAGCAGGAAAGTTCTAATCTGGATCCTTCAGCATAACCTCACACGGTGGTCTCTGAGAATTAATTCAGTGCAGTAAAAGGCAACCCTTCTTTGGGGAATACACCAGGCCCTCCCAGTCATATTCCTAACCAGTGCTCCTCACCTCAGGGGAGGCACTCACGTGAGGAGGGCTGAGGATTAACGCTCAGTGGGAGTTTGACCTATTCAGCCGAAAGGTCAGCTTGCCATGGAAGAACCCATTACAAAACAGAAGCAGGACAGCTCGGTGGACACACATAATGAAAGGGGAAAAGTCACGAGCCCTACTTGCCTTGTGCCCTGCTCTTTCCCTTCATAACCCCAGCTCCTTGCCAGCATGGTTCACAGTGGGAAGGTGGACCACAGGCAGAGAGCCACAGAGGGGCTTGCTATTGGAGGGATCACTTGAAGAAGGTATTCTGAAGTGAAGAGGACTGTGACACTGTGAGGCAGGGTTTCTAATGGATTGTTTTATTAGGCCAAGGCAGTCACTGGTGGATAGGAAACATCATTTCAGAGGTACTTCCTTATCCTCCCCCATAAGGTGGAGGGCAGTACGGCATCACGGGCAAATGTAGTCTTAAAGTTCGGCAGGTAGTATCTCAGGAACGCCTGGCAAAAAGGCAGGCTTCATGCCCGGTAACCCCTGATAGCTCCCCTCTGAATCCTCCATCTAAGGGGGCAAGGATCTGTTCCCACACTGAGCCTGGGGGAAGGGAGCACTAAAGGGCATGCTTAATGGAATCCCTGGACATTGACTTCCTGGGCTTTGGCTAAGCAAAGCCAGCGGCTGAGAAAGAATGGAATATGGAATGCTTAATGAGTCTTTCCATGGCATAGAAGAAAAGGAAAGGGATTCCCTTGAAGAATCTCAATTAGCTTTCCTCACTGTAGGGCCAAAGAAGTCAGGGAGGGTTTTCTCAGGAGCCCCAGAAGTTCATGAGGTATGTATGAGTGTGTGTATCTGTTTCCCTATCAAAATTAAAATTTCTCAGTTTGCATGTAATATAGGCTGTGTCTTTATTCTGAAACTGGCCCTCATCACTCTGCCTTCTGTGGGGTCCGTTTTCACAAATTGTATTCTTTCAATACAAAACGCCTCAGTATCTGTGCATGGCTTAGACACTGGGAGATTTTCAGGTTTGGAGAAGAAACTGAAATAGCACTGGGTACCAGCTTAACCCATATAGCAACATGACAACTGAAATTCTGTTGTTGAAAGCACTGTATGTGAAGTTTTCGTGCAATATGTATATATACATACATGACGCACTGTTATTGTTTTCATATATATGAAAACACATACATGAAATATATATATGAAAACAAATAATCACAGTGCTTTTTCAGTGTACTTTCATCAAGGTTAGTTTCTAGTATTAAAATATAGGATAAATGATGACTGTAGAAGAGAAATAGGGACACGCATTGTTAATTGGGCACGTGATTAATCACATATCTGATAACAAATAAATACCAGAAAAAAAATCTCATGTATTCAGGAGTAGTACACTTTGGGTTTATTTTTAAATTCCTATTTAGGGGATTTTTAAAAACAAAAAAACTATCTTCATAATTCATATCTCAGACCTACTAACATGTTATATCACCAATTTAGACAAAAAAGAATATTTAATCCAATAATGCAATTGAAATTTTAAGAAGTCTTAACGATGATCCAAAATTTTTTGATGCAATACATATTTAAATATCTTCCACCATTTAAGTATGGGTTGACTGCATTGGGTAAAATAATTAGGGATGAGGCGACTGTGCAAATTTTAATACTTATAAATGAACTGCTTTTGGGAAAAAGAAACCATGTCTGCTTTTCTTAAAGAAGTGTATTTATATTGCTTCAACTATTAAAGAACTAAGGGGAAAACATACAATGTCTAATTGATCTGTTTAGTCAAGGGGGTGTTCACTATGCACTTCTCGGCTTCTTGAGAATTAAATAGTATTCATATGATTTTTGAAAATGTTTATCATTTTCTACACCAAAATGGCATAGTCCTCTAAATGTGAAACGGCAACCAAATATCACTGTAGTAAGTCTCGAAAATGTTTTTGTATATTTGGTCAGCAACAAATTACAGGGACCTCTTAGTACGAAGTTTCCATTTTAAAGATTCACTTCGCCTACCCACCTTTCTTTTCCATTGAGGGAAATGAGAATCCCTAGGCAGATATTTCTCCTTCTGTAGCTGGGAAAGGAGGAAATGGCCTTTCTCCAACAATCTGGTAGTTACTATAAGAATACTGTATGTCCCTCACACGGGCTACATATGGGGTGATTAACATTCTTCGTGAGAGAACCCACACTTCCCCTTGACAATGAAACCCTTAAGGCAGTGGGTTAAGCTGCTGTTTGGAGTGACAGCACTTGAGGGAATGAGGTCAACGTCTGACAGTCAACGTCTCGGAGGACAGAACCTCAGGAAAATGCAGGCGTGATCCACAGCCTGGGCCGAGGCGTGGAGAGTAGGGTACATGAGGGAAATCCTCAAGAGATGCAAGGGGTCCTGAGGAGTGGACTGGCCTAAAAGAAGAGGACATCCCTGACATACCTGAGACTCCAAAAGTGCTGTTACTAATTTTAAAAAATGGTAGTTAGTACACAGTCATTCCAATTTTACTTGCTTAATTATTCCAGAAGAACAATGATTGTAAGAGAGTACTTTTTTGGGGGGTGGGACTTTAGTCCTTAACAACTGAAAAAACATCCAAGGCTTTCCTAAGTATTTATTGGGTTCAACCACTTGATGTCACAGGGATTGCTTTTGGATGTAAAGCTTAAAGTTAACTATTTAATTCCCTTTATACAGTGAAAGAAATGAGAATTTCCTCTTTTTCTTTACAAAATAAATAAAAGGTAAAAAATTAGATCATACCCAAAATTAATTCCTATCTTTAAATTCCCAGCAGAGATATGGAGTGTGCTGGGGTGAACCCACCAGCCCCCTCCCGCCCCCACCACCCAATTTGGGGAAGTCTGGGGAGTGAGACAGTTATAAAGCGACTTCAGAATAAAGAATATAGAATAGGAGGATCTTTGAGGGCTAGAAAGTCTTGATTTTTAATCTAACATGAACAGATCAAGAAGAGAGAAACTAATTTCTTCTGGCATCAGGGCTATGGTGGCAAATATGTACTGAGTCTCAGGCTGAGGCAGGCACTCTGCTGGGAACTCGGGATGCGAAGCTGACGAGGATCCAGTCCACTGGGCGAGGCAGGCCTGTGTGTCAGCGGAGGCCAGTGGGCCACTCAGAGTGGGTAGCACAGATCCCTGTCCAGGCTCCAAGCCTGAACACATTCTTGACGTAAGAAGGTGCTCTGCTTTCTGAGTACTATCTCCAGGTTCTAGTTTTGAACTGCTTCTGTTGTTGTTTAAATTCTTCTTCTTTCAGTGAACACTTTCCTCTACAAAACACCTACTGCATGTATGTCAGGCAGGGATATCATGTGTCGCTCACGAATTAAGCCCACAGTACACAGAAAGACACCGTGAGCTCTCTGATAACGGCTCTCAAAGGGAGGGACAAAGAGAACATACCAAATTTGGGATGTGAATACAGCACTAACTTTGCAAAGTTTAATACTTGACTTTTCATTGGTAGAAATTATCTTCCCTACAAATACACTAAAATTTTTTTTGAGCAGTTAAATTTTTAATAAGGGTTAGATTTGGTACACTCTCTCAAGAGGGGAAAGGATGATTACACTTTCATTTTGCAAACTGTCTTAAAAGCCTTTCCAATGAGTGCCGCTTTACTGTTGTCACCTCCTCTGACCTCAGCAGCAAGCAAACAGTTATGGCATGATTCCACCCAGTAGGAAGGGGGTGGAGATTACCACTGAAATAGTGCAGTGTCAGTTGCAGTTGCTGGTAAAAGGAAGACGTCCACATCTGGTATCTTGATTTTTTAGTTTTCAGTCTGATCCCAAAGCTTCGTGTTATGACATTTGTAACATCTGCTACAAATACTGAGGTAAGTCAGGCACAACCTTATTACTTCCAGTCTAATGCTCCATTCACCCTCTAGGCCTTCCTAGGCCACTGATACGACAGGGAACTAACGTTGGTTCTGCAGGAAACAGCTTATGTTTCTGTGGGAGAAAGAATACAAAGTCTCTTGCCTTTTCCCTCTTCTCTCTCCTGTTCCTCCATTCATATATTCAGTCATCCTCTCTCTCTCTCACTGTCTCTCTCTCCTTAGCTTTTGGGCCACATCACTTCTTGGTATTATGCTCAGTAACTTGCTTCCTGCCAGAAGAAGAGTCAACATAAAGAGTTGTGTGAAGCAGTGGGGTATTGGCCCAAGGGACACAAGACTCTGCTTATAACAGCACCTGCTATTGAAAGGTCACTCTGATAAATTTCCAAAGCTCAACAATCTCAAGCTATGGAATTACATTTATTCATCCAAAATGTAGTGAAGCCTTATAATATGGAAGGGTATCAACCCTGTTGACCAAGGTGCTAGGGATATAAGCCAGGCTCCTATTTCCACTTATAGATACGTTGGCAGAAGAAAGCTAAAAGTATCCACAGGAAATATTTGTTGAGCCCCTATCTGTGCTGGACACTGTGTCAGGGAATATAAAATTGAAAAGGCATCTCCTAACCCTCCAGATCATCAGAGTCTACTGGGATACTGACATATAAGCAAATGAACAATATGCAATAAAAGTACAACTCTCAACTCAGGATGGAGGTGGGGAGAGGTGGAGTCAGGGAAGGCCTTAGAATAAGGTACTGCCAGAACCAGAACCGGAGTATGGAGTGAAGTTACGTGAACAGTGCACTATCATGGCCAGGACCCTGGGATCTACTGATCAGACATGAAGGCAAGGGCAAAAGCATGTTAACGTAGCTACAGATGCATGTTCCAGGCGCATCATCCTGCCCGCGACAACGATGGACTGTCATATTCTTAGAAACCTGAAGGACTGGGACCCCACCTACAGTGCCTTCTTGGGGCTCAATACTGCATAACAGTCACATAGTTACAACTGGTAGACCAATGTCCATTTGGCACTGTCTGAAAACCCCAACTTTACAATTCTCTCTCCCCCTCCACCTCAACACCACTGCTTAGATGAAAACCCTGACGTGCACACCTGCATCGCAGCATCTGGCTTGGCACCGTGCTGGGCAACCGAGTCACTAACCAGACTGTTGTATCACCTCCGTGTTCTGAAGTGCACTGCTGTGATTCCAGTCACTTACTGTAGAATATGTGCTCCATTTCCAGGATGTGCTTGTCCTCTCTGCTGGGAGAAGGAGCTCAATGGGAGGGGTCACATTATGGGGAGACAACTACACAGACTAAAGGATTGGGGTTCTGGAGTCATGCAGACCAAGTTTTAAATCCTCCATTTTTCTCTAATTAGCTGGGTGGTCTTAGACAAATTAGGTTCCATGGACCTCAATTTCTCATTCTGTCAAAAGGGTTAATGCCTCTCACAGCAGTTGTGAGGACATGTGACATGTCCCGCCCTGATTTAATTGTTCTCCTGGAGCTTATCTGCATAGTGTTGTCTCTCCCACTAGCAAGTCACCTTCCCAAGCCAGAGGAGTCATTCTGTGCTTTGCCGAAACCCCAGCATTTAGAATTGGGACCAGAATGCAGAAGGCACACAATAAATACTTGTGAATGAGCGAACACTCTAGAGCACAGGGCCCAGCCCGCGGGGGCGCTAAGCACATGTCAGCTCTCTCCTCTTTGTTGTGAAAAGCAGAGGCCGGTCCAAAGATGACTTTTCTCAATAACTATCTTTATTCCAATTTTAACAGGAATATTAGGAATTTTTTCCCCTGTAAGTTGTCACCAGCTTCTGCCTTTCCTACAGTGTGCTATCAAATCTATAGTGTCACCACAAACCCTGCGAGCCAACTGCAATCAGGGCCTCACACCAGTGCAAACATTTCACACACACTTGGGCAAAGAGCCAGCAATTCACTGAGTGTCAGCAACTGCCCACTGAATTTTCTTTTGAAGGATTCACTCATGCCCTATTCCAGCAGTAATTGGCATTGGTTTTAAGATGCTGAATGCCTCAGACATAACTTGATGAGATAAATGTACATAGCCACCACCACTGCAAACTGAAATCAGCTCTTACAACCCCACCATCTTCCCTCTAATTTCACATAAACAAAAGCCCACACAATTTTCAACGGTAACTATGCAGGAGCTAGGTCTTACTTATGTTAGCTGATCAAGGTCTGCATCACCATTGCTGCCTGACTTTTGGATACCTACAGAGGCTATGATTTAGGGAAAGTTAGAAAATAAACAAGAAAGAGGAGCACAATTTGGAGAATGCAGATTAGTAAACAGGCTTACAAGACTGTCTGACCTAGAATCGAGAACATATGTAAGCAATATTTTTATACTTTTCACCACCATACAATGAATTGAGGAAAAAACACTTAACTTGAAGACCTATTATTTAGACTCAAGGCTGAGTTCAAGCCTTTCTCTATTAGAGGTTCTTAATATGTTTCTTTCTTTGAATAACAGGGCTGTTTAAGCAAACCCTCTTCATAAGACAATATTCAAACACAAAATTTTGCATATGCAATTACAAAAATTCCAGAGAGCTTCTGAAACACAGCCATAGACCCCAAGTCAAGAACTCTTGCTTTAGACAAGAGCCAAGCACCCCCCACAGATGCCCTGTGTCATCAGTGGGACTGAACAACTGATTCACTGAGTGAATGAGTAAGTAACCAAATGAATACTCAAATGAATGAATGCAAGGAGATCCAGTCAAGAGAGAATGCACAACTAAGTCAGATACTTGTATTCTGTGAGGAGACTGTGGGACTGAAAGCAGCAGCCAGTTAGTTGGTTTATTCACAAAACTGCCTTGTGGAATTATACACTGCTCCTCCCCTTCTAAATGCAGACAGAGGGAGGAAAGGAAAAAGAGATAATGAAGGTTTGCAAATGAAGTGGGTACAACTGTGCAATCAATCAACATTTTCTGAAAAAGAATCTGCATCACTTGCCAAAAATTTGAACTGAATAACTGAACCAGAATTCTGATGAGAACGGACTTCGCCACTAGCCAGTCATTTTTATTTGTTTTCCAGCTGTCTTGCTTCTCTCTTCCAGGAAGCCACTGGTCTCTTCAGTGTGGCAAGTTCAGGCAATGGGAACTTATTTAACCACAGTTCAATGTATACTCTGTATTCCCTATTTTAATAAAACTTTACTGAGTGCTTACCCAGTGCCAGGCACTGTTAGTTGAAAAGGATATAATTCACTTATTCATCTAAAGATTCATTGAGGGCCTACTAAGTGCCAGGCCATGGACCACCAAAGAGTGAACAAAGGAGACAGACAAATGGGCCTGCATGGAGCTGGCATTCCAGTGGGGAGCCAGACGACAACAATAATAGCAACAACACATGCACATCTCCACATAAGCAGCAGTATGAAAGAACATTTTTAAAAGGGGAAGGGAAAAGTAGGGACAGAGATTTCTGTATTCCATGGAAGATCAAGGAAAGCCTCTCCAAGGTTATAATATTTGAGTGGAGACAGGAATAAAGGGAAGGAGGGACATGATGTCCAGGTGAAGGGAAGAGAAGATATAAAGGCCCTGAGATGAGAGAAACTTCTCAGGTTCAGGAAATGACAGGGAACCAGTACCCTCAAGGAATTTAGAGACTGGGGAGAGAGAAATACAAACTGTAAAAAAGTAACAGGTTGCCTGGGCACAGTGGCTCACGCCTGGAACCTCAGCACTTTGGGAGGCCGAGGCAGGCGGATCATGAGGTCAAGGGGTCGAGACCATCCTGGCCAACATGGTGAAACCCTATCTCTACAAAAATACAAAAATTAGCCGGGCATGATGGTGCGTGCCTGTAGTCCCGGCTACTTGGGAGGCTGAGGCAGGAGAATCGCTTGAACCTGGGAGGCGGAGGATGCAGTGAGCCGAGATCTCGCCACTGCACTCCAGCCTGGGCGACAGAGCAAGACTCCATCTCAAAAAAAAGAGCAACGGTTTACTTGGAGGACTGCAGGAAAAGGAGCATCTAACTCTAGTGAAATTCAAAGATGTAAGAGAAAAGAGAGCATCTGGGCTAGATATGAGTGTTAGTTTTCCAGGCAAACAAGCTACGGATTGGTGGGGATGAGGGGAGCATTTGGGTAGAGAGAAGAACACACACAATGGCACAAACTGCTGAGCAAGGCATGGGAGTTTCATTCATGCATGAAGAAGACATGTTGGGCCCAGTCACAAATGGCCCCATCAGCACTGCAAAGGAGTTCTCAGTTCACACACGGCATTCGGCATCCATCTGAAAAGTTAGAGCACAGAGGGACATGAGCACGTGTGTGTGCTATATCACCTGAGGCACGGTGCAGAGGGTGGAACTGTGTTTGGGGGAAAGCTGAAAACGTGGCTATTGCATAGTCTAGCCAATAAATGACGATGAGTTGACCCTAGTAACTAAGTAAGACCGTAGAGAGGGGTTCAATTCTAAAGGTATTTAGGAGATAGGACTGAGAGAGCTTTGTGATTACCTCATAAGGGAAAAGCCAGAGCGCAGTATGAGTTCTGAGTTATAACACAGTATAATGGTTTCTTCCTTTCCTGTGATAGGACATTGAGTAAGGCAGGGAGGTGTTAAGGAGAAGATGGGAAGTTGAAGGGAGGTGTCTTTAGGACAAGCCCATCTTGATGCCTAAAGGGCCTGAGGCGCAGAATTGAGTTTTTGGCAGAGATGAGGATTTGGCTGCAAGTCATTAGCACACAGGTGGGATTAGAAGCCATGGGAGGACAAAATGGGAGGTGGGCTGAGGACCCAGCTCAGGGAAAATCTGCATTTATAAAGAGGCAGAAGCGGGGAACCAGCAAAAGCCTGAGTGCAGACAGCCAGAGCAGAGGGTGGATAAAGCGGCAGCCATGTCCTAGAAAGAAGAGAGGACATTTTAAGGAGAGACTATGGACTCTGTCAAATGTCATGGGAGAGCCCTGAAGATCTTGGGCAGGGGCACTGCAGTCGGTTGAGCAGCAAATGAGAGATCAACATTTCTGAAAATCTGGAAGGGAAAGAAAGGAGAGTAAGGGATGACTCTCCTATGAAGGGAGAGTAACGGGAACATACCCAAGCTTAAGGGATATTTTTTAAAGTGACTTTGGATGTCTATACCCTGAGAAGCAGCGGCAAGCAAAAGCCATGAGACATAGATGAAAAACTCTTTTAAAAAGCTACAAAATTACCAGGAGTTTAGATAAAGCTGAGAAATAAGCAACACACTATTTTTTTTCAATATTTCACTATAACTTGACTCTACAAACTTAATGTACCATGGTGTGGTGCCCAGCCACTACAATAGGGATCTCAGCCTCCAGCTCTTCCAGATGTTGTTTAAACAACATAATGATCTATAATCCACATCCAGAACTAGAATCGGATAGGGAAAGCTGCCTGAATATATCTAAACCCAAGCCATCATTGTTCCCCCAAAACCTCTGTCCCTTCTTGCCCACTGTTAATGAGTCTCCATTCTGCTAGTCCTGCAGGCTACATCAGAGCTGTCTCACCTTCGTTTTCTCCTCTGCGTAAATAGGAAATCCTTTGCAAGGACTCCAGTCTCCACTACTAGAGTGACTTTCCTACCAGGTTCATGAAGACATGAAACTTCATATATAGAGATTTACAAAGATACCAATATGCTACAAAAAATGCAAGACCCCACTTTGGGATGATGCTGTTTTGAGGCTTCCTACTTACTTCATGCTACCAATACTATCCATCACTTTGCTCATCAATAAAAATGTTTTCTCCTGGTCCAATTGGCTCCAAGTTTTCTGTCTTTGTATCTCTTGCCATGGCAAAAGTTCTCCAAATGTCATAAATAGAGGAGTTACTTGGAATTGCTTTTGGAGTCCCTACAACTCCTGGATCACAAAAGCAACAAGTATTTCTTCCTTGCAGCCAAGATCTGTCAAATACCCACAGGCAAGTATTGCAAGTGATTATTAATATACACAGGTGTGAGCTAAAAGAATATTAAATCATCAAAGGAAACTAAAATGCATTATTTAATGAATTTTGATTATGCCAATAAAGAGAAAGCCAAGACTGCTATATGTGGCAGACAAAAAGACCTTGTTTCCCAATATTTTTTTTTTTTTTTTACAGAAGCCATTGCCTCCATCATCACTGAGGTTGAACTTTCTATCTGGCAAGTGAGAAAGAGATTTTTTTTTCTGGAATTTCAAAAATGTTTATATAAACTTTGTCCTTAGTACTCAGAAGAAAATACTAAATGCTGACCTCAACTTGCTCCCCTTAGCTCTCCTCTCATTTTTATTCCTCTCTGAGACAGTCTGCTTTGAGGTTTTCAGATTCTGATAAGACCTATATAGTCACTTTCATTTTCTTGAACTAACTTACTTTTATTCACTTGCACCATTGCTGTTAAGTCACTATTTTCTTCAAATTTTTACCCAAAATTGAGATGAAGTAAGCTTTATATATTGTTGCAAGTTTATTCCCCTCTCATACTGGTTTTACTTTTTTTAGAAATAATTTCTTCCATTGTTAGTATCAGCATATGTCTAGCTCTGTCCTCTACAATATCCATCAAAGAATCTTGAAATGTTTATTCTGGAAGTATTCAGGAACACTTAAAAAGATGGGAAGACAGCTGTAGTTTAGTATGAAAAGCACAATTGTTGGGAGTCAGAAACATTTATTTCTAAATAACAGCCCTGGCATTTACTAGTTGGTGAACTTGGATGAGACATCTGACATCCAGATCTTAGTTTCCTCATCTGTAGAGTGAGATAATAATACCCAGTCCAAAGAGTTGTGGCAAGGGTTAAATGTGCGACAGTTTTCTAGCACATACCTAGTAAATAGTGAGAAAACAATACATTTTCATTCAATCTTAATTTTTAATCTCTCTGTAGCAAAACAAAAATGAGTGCTGACAAGATGCTTTTGACGACGAAGATTAAAGAAAGTCACCAAAGTGGTGTATATGACTTTTCCGTCATTTTCTAGGTTGTGCCACCTTGGGCCAGTTAGAAAAGTCTCAGAGAAATATGGTTACCAGAAAGGTGAACATACCTGCTTTATTTAGCATGCTGTTTGAGAATTAAATGAGATAGCATACATGAAGTGCCTAAGACAATATCCGACCCATAAGAGGTATTTGCTAAACATTAGCTCCTTTCCCCTTCCTCAAAGATGTGTATTCTTGGAGTCATTTGTAAATTTTTTTAAACCGCAGATGTTTTTTTTTTAACACGTTAAGTTCTGGGGTACATGTGCAGAACGTGCAGGTTTGTTACATAGGTATACACATGCCATGGTGGTTTGCTGCACCCAAAAACTGTCATCCACATTAGGTATTTCTCCTAATGCTATCCCTCCCTTAGCCCCCCACCCACCAACAGGCCCCGGTGTGTATTGCTCCCTTCCCTGGGTCCATGTGTTCTCATAGTTCAACTCCCACTTATGAGTGAGAACATGCATAAACTGCCGATTTTATAGAGTAAATCACATGTCATGCCCTTGTTCAAAACTGGAATAATAGCAACATTTATTAGAGATGGAGTATCTTGGCATATATGAAAATCCTCAAGACTATAGCTGAATAGTGATTCTATATTATGGATTTGGAGTGTAATGATCTTTTGTGAGAGTACACAAAAAGAAGCGGTATGGCATGGTTGCTTTCTTACACTTACGTGTACATACACGTATATGCATGTGTGCATGTGTCTCTAGACATTTTTAAATCTTCAACTTATATTTTCAACTTCCAAAGACATATATACATGGTAGGCATTGGGAAGCTTGGTTAAATTATGACTGCCTAATGCAGAGACATATATACCCAAGCACTCCTACTACAAAAATGGTAGCAGCCTAAAGGTTATCTTCCATTTTTTTTCCAAGGAGGATACAGAGTAGAAGAAACCAAACAGACTGCAGCATTTTACCCCTCTGTTCCCCAGTCCTCATCGGTCATGTCATGTTTGTCGTCGACCCCATCTGGGCAGCAGGTGTGGTGCTGCACGGCTGCGGGTATTTGATTATTGACTAGTGTATATTTCCAAAGGGCACAACAGACTGCTGACTGGCCCTCAGTTATAACATGAGGCAATCTTCCGTGTTTACACCTGTAAGAGCTAAAAATAAAGAAAAACTGATTTTGAGTTTTTTAAAACTACATTTTGACCAGAGGCTTTTAACAAAGCCTCCATATATATCAGTCAAACACTGAGCTTGGCAAGCTTGTATAGAGTCTATTAAAGGGGGAATAAGGTTCATGAATTTCAAGCTTGGAGGGCTCTAATTACCTCATGCTCAAACTTTAACCACAAAACTCAGATAAATTGCTGCACTAAAACCGTAGAAGATCCTTCACCTGATTTGTGCCAGTGCATCTAAAGCTCAGTGAGGCTGATCCCAGTGAGGTTTTTCAAATCAGTCCTAAGGGAAAGTGTTCTGGACCTGTCTCTAATGAGTATGTACGGATTACTTGGATGTTTTGGTAAAGCTACCCAGTAAATTAGTCAATCTGAAATTTTATTAGCCGCAAAGCATTACAGCAGTCAGTCATATGGGCTAAGAATACTGGGGGAATTAAAGTCATTTTAAGCATCTATTAGTCAGGTATCACGAATCCGTTTCAGGCCTCCGCTAGTAGTTGTAACATGAAACTAATTGGCTAATAGTTACAGCTGTCTCTTCAGTGCGTTTGTTCTTAGAGGCGTGATCCCTTCTTGAACCAATTTGCATACACCCAGAGGGGGGTCCTACTTTTTATTCTAGTTTAATGTACGATTTGGATTCAAAAGGAAGCAAACAGGTAGGGGGGCAGTCTGTATGCATAAACCATGGTGTGAAACAACTAAACCTGAATGCACACACTGCCGGCCTAAAAGCTGAAATTTAGCAAATGTGGAAGGCAGAGGAGAATGCAGAAAATAAACATGACTCTTAAATATTCTACACATCCATATTTTATCAAAGATGCACTGAGGAGAAATGTGGATTTCCCTCTGCCTGGTCTTACACTCTCCATGGCTATTTATCTAGTTACAAACTTTTATAGATGTGAACTATTTTAAGAAGTCCTTTAGAAATGGCCCGAGGTAATTTCAAACTTAACGGACCCTGTCCCACCAGAGCTCATTACAGTGAATTTGATAACAAAGTACCCTCTACTTAATTTTCAGAGCCTAGCCAAGCGTACGAGAAATGCAGCTGCATTAAGTGCAATTAATGGTACAATAAAAGCAGTGGAGGGCTGCTTAACACCCAAGGACCAGCAGTAAACACTGGCTTCGTGCTCTCCAGCACTCAGTGATGTGCCAGAGGACGCGGAGTGTGAGATTTCTGTACCGAAGTGGGAGACGCCCTTCTCCTGCTAGAGAAGAATTTCCTGTCCTTCAACAATTCCGCCCAGAGACTGTACAAAAGGATATAAAGGTACTCCCTCCAGTTATGCCACTAGCATCCTCGCTCCCTTTGAGCAGGGATCCAACACAGGAAGCTCATATTCCCATCAGGACGGGAAAAGGACAAATTCAATTCCAACAAAAGTGAGTCTAATAAGCAAGTGACTCGTAATGTACAAAATGATTTGGTTTCCTAACTAACAAAGTGGACTATCAAATGACAAAAAAGGAACAAAGTAGCCAGTCAGAATAGTTTTCAAACAAGCCAAAAAAAATCAAAAAGTTGATGAGCAGAAACAACTATAATGATACTGCAAATCTCTTTGATGATGAAAAATCACTTCTTAGAATTTGAATGAGAGACATCCAGAGATCAGCAAAAACCTCAGTGGTTAATAACAATCATGGTTGTTTGAGGATTGGTCCATCAGCTAGTTAATTTGTTAAATAAAATACGGTCAACCAGGTCTGGAAAGATGATTACACATATTCAGCTTTCATAAGCAACTGAAATAATTCTATCATAGAAAGAATTTGACGATAATGTCTCTTAGTAGCCTGGTTTGAATTCAGGGACCTACCCCTCTATTTCCATTTCTGGACGAAACTGTTTTTTAACAGTATAAATAGGCTAGGAAAAACATTTAAGTTATATTTTTGACAATAAAATTCCTACCAACACATTCAAGTGCAGAGAATTCGTCCTAATTATGACATTATAGACATGGTTAGCCTAAATAAAGAAAAGCCATAGTTAATCCCCACATTTCATTTTCCTAGAAACATGCTTCTGACCTCCGTCCTCAACAGAACTCCCCCATGAGCTTTTGTACTCGTTTGGTTCCTCCAGTTTCTGATGGATGCCCACTCGTGGTTGGAAGGGCTCACGGGCAATGAGAGGACCCTGGCAAGGGCAAAAGTGAAAACTCAAGTAGGAAATGACAGGAGGGAGCCGGGACCTAACTCCAAATGGAGGCATTTTAGTGACACCAAACTAAGTCCCTCTCCCTCAATAAAATTCTAACCCTGAACACCTCTTCCCAAAACAGGAAACCTGCGACATCCCTAATGACAAGTAAATAAACGATTACAACCCCATAGAAGAGGAAGCTTCTCTGTGTGTAACTGCACAGATGTGAACGGGAGCTCCAGGCCTTGGCATGGCTCCTGGGCTCTAGGAATGGCTGGAAACACTGGAACTACTACGTGAACAAAGGAGCTTTTGTAGTAGAATTCTGCCACATTCTACCAAGAAGATCTTTAAAAAACAGACAAAACTGGATACATTTTCAAAAAATAAACAATCTTGTCCTGGACAATTCACTCTGTTTCTGAATGGTCTAAAAGATGGTTAAAAATAATTCACTTGTTCTAATAGTTTCCAAATGAGGGGTTCCATGACTAGCACTCTCTTCAGAAGGTTTGCTACGTCGATATTACTTTTCAGTAATATCAAGAGTTTTCCCTATCTACATAGGGTTTAAAGACATTTATCCATGTGCGATTTTCAACTGACAAATTACCTATGCTTAAGAAGGTTCCATCCTCCCTGCCTCCTCACCCTCATTTTTGCTGGTGCTGAGGGGTCCCCATGGTGGGAAGGGAGAGAGCGGCTGGATGACAAGAAGAGTTCAGGTTCTACAATCAGGCAGGTTGAGATTTCAATCATGATTTTGCTATTTAGCAACCATGGGATATGGGGCAAGTTACTGAGGCTTGCTGAGTCTTGATTTCCTCCTCTCTAAAATGCTTGTTCATAGGGTTGTTAGGTGAATTCAAGGATACCACATGTGAGCATACTCCACACATTCCTGCCTTGACATCCAACCCTCTCTCCCCCTGCAGGAAAAGAACTCTTGAGAAACAGGGACCTTCCTGGAAGACAGGCTCCTACTGACTCACTTTCCAGTGCTGCTTTTACTTATAGAGTTGGCCCTCTGCATTGGCTGATCCTGTATCTGCAGATCCAACCAACCACAGATTGAAAATATTTGAAAAAAAAAAAGGATGGTTGTGTCTGCACTAAACATGTACAGACTTTTCCTTGTCATCGTTCCCTGAGCAATACAATGTAACAACTATTTACATGTAATTTATATTGTATTGGGTGTTATAAGTAATCTAGAAATGATTTAAAGTGTATGGGAGGATGTACCTAGGTTATATGCAAATACTATACCATTTTATATCAAGGACTGGAGCATCCAAGGATTTTGTTATCTGTGGGGAGATTCTGGAACCAATTCCCCATGGATACCAAGGAAGGGCTGTACTATTCTCTGGGCTCCGACTACCTGTCACCCTCAACTCATTTTATACAAATCCTGTCATTCCTCATTCAGCAGCCACACCTGTGAAGCCCTCCGGCAATGAATAGTTGGAAAAGCATCTTAGTCTGCTTTAAGCACTTATAACATATTCCACACTGTTCTAGCAGCCATTTTATATTTTGTTCATAATTTTCTTGTGTGTGTGTGTCCACATTTTAATTTGTGATGACTATTCTTATTTACAACCCACAGTGCCAATAGATATTTACGAGTGGTCTTTCTAAAAACATTTAATAGATGTTGTGAGTTCTTTTCCTTACCTTTTGATACAGTGTCTGATATTATACAAATAACCCCATTAGAAATTTGTCTGACTTAGCAAACATACTTGTTTAGAAAGTGAATCTTTGAGTAGGTAAAAAGATTGTTAATAATTCACAAAAGCAGCATGAATTGATGCCACCAGTTTGCTTTTCTTTTAATCCCTAGAGGAACTGAACTGTACCAAGAGAATTGAAATTTTGATAATGTGGAGGAAAAGAGCATTTTTGAGCATGGAACTCTTTCAAGGTAAAGGTTATTTTATCTCCCTTATCCCAGTGGCAGACTTAAGATGGTGGACATGGAGTAACCTTGGGATAAATGGGTACTTGTGGCCTGGAGGAAACATATTGGCAGGTGTAAGGAGGCATCAGCAACATTGATGGAAGGGTATTTGGGACAATATTGACCTATTCTGAAATGCTTCCCAGCTTCCCACCATGTTAGTGCCCAGATGAGGTAAGGATATTTCCTCCTGCCTCAGGACCATAAGGCATCCTGTTCCCAGGAACTGTAATACATGAAAGGATTCTCCATTTTATCACTGGGTTCCATGATGGGTATACAGGCTTTGCGGACTCACCTAGGAACTCAAGCTCTGCTTAACACTTTTTTTCCCCATGGCTTTATAAACTGAAAGCTAAACATTTGTGTTTCTAAAACTAACTAATACATCCTAATTTTCTTGAGGGCAAAGATCACATTTGAAATTATCCTAATTTGAAATCAACATTTCCTTTTTTTTTTTTTTTTTTTTTTGAGACAGGGTCTCACTGTGTCATCCAGGCTAGAGTGCAGTAGCACAATCAAAGCTCACAGCAGCCTCAACCTCTTGGGTTCAAGCGATCCTCCTACCTCACCTCCCAAGTAGCTGGGACTATAGGCATGTGACAACATGCCTGGCTAATTTTTCTGTTTTCTGTAGAGACCAGGGTCCCACTCTGTTGCCCAGGCTGGTCTGGAACTTGAGCTTCAAACAATCCCCCCACCTTGGCCTCCCAAAGTGCTGAGATTACAGGCACGAGCCACTGTACCACCGGAATCAACTTTTTTTTTTTTTTTGAGACGGAGTCTCCCTCTGTCGCCCAGGCTGGAGTGCAGTGGCTCAATTTCAGCTCACTGCAACCTCTGCCTCCCGGGTTCAAGCAATTCTCCTGCCTCCCCTCAGCTGGGATTACAGGCACGTGCCACCATGCCCAGCTAATTTTTTGTATTTTTAGTAGAGACGGGGTTTCACCATATTGGCCAGGCTGGTCTCGAACTCCTGACCTTGTGATCCTCCTGCCTCGACCTCCCAAAGTGCTGGGATTACAGGCATGAACCACCGTGCCCAGCCCTGAATCAACACTTCTATGTATCCCATAGTCTTTCCATAGATATTTGATGATGATAATGATCAATTTCAGGCAACTAAGAGTGGCTAGTGAAGAATGAAATGAAATTCCCAGAACCAATATCATTTGAGATACTTTTATGTAAGTACTTAGCTGATATGCGAAAAACAAGGGAGAAAAATTTGTGGTCTCAGCAGAGGGCAGCTTGTCTGTTGAACTGCACATTTATCCTTAGGCTAGTTACACCAGCTCATGTGCTCCAGGCAGAGTCATAAAAGTTTAATTCTGTATCCTTCCACCTGGCTAACCCGGATTTTGTGAACACAAGAAAAGGAAGTTAACTTCAAGAATATCAATCTACTTCCTTCCATGGGCTATAAATGCACTCTAAAGTAAAAGATACATATAAGGATCTCCTGACCTAGAATACTTCTTAACTTTCAGTGCAATTGACTTTATTTTCCTGTCGACTACAATTTTCACTGAAGACTCCTGACTTCTTAGTGGCATAATAAAGTTTTGTCTAGGATTACAATAAAAAGCTTCCATAATATCTATGACCTGAACATTCTACATTTATTTTTAAATCACATCTGAAAATCAGCACAAATGGCAATTTGATGTTTGGGCCCTTGAAACCAGATTTTCATCCCCTTGCCTCTCACATTCGGTTCATATCTTTTAGGGCAAGTTTCATTATATAAAAGCTAAGTTTAGAAGATAAGTTTGCACAGGTTTAAGTGAGGTTTATGTGTATTTTAGTTTGATGTATTTTACGTTTAGAGTAAATTAGTTATTCCTGTGTTCTTTTTGGAAAAATGGAAATATTCTGGAACACACTCCTTTGCCACATCCATCCCTGTTAACAATACCCTTAACCACTTGACCAGGTGAGAAGGAATAAAAAGGAGGTTGTAGACCGGAGCTTGCAAGCAATTTCCTTCTACTCCCTTCACTGGTGACCCTTGCCCTTCACTATCCTTGCACTTGCCCTTTCCAGTTGCATATCCAGGAGGAATGGGAGGCAGGGTGACATTTGACTCCACAGAGCCACACACACCAACAGCATGATGCCTGTGACTTCCTTCTCTCCTTCTGGCTTTGCATCATGGCATTAACTGAAATGGTCTGGTCTTACAGCAGTTCCAGGGGAGTGGGATGGAGTTGCCTACTGACTTATAAAAGGCATGTGAGGAAACTGTACGCTATTAAATTTTTTCAATGATAAAGAGAGATATAAATTGACAAAATTGCTTTATTATATGATTCAAATGTTAAATTTCAACTCTAGTATACAGTATTTTATTTTATGAACAAGTAATAAGAGTTAAAAATGAAGGTATAGAATGTCATTCCATAAGCCTGAGGTTCATTTACACAGTGCATATTGATCACCTACTATGATCAGAGACTCAGTTGGTGTTAAGGAAATGATTAGGAATAAAAAGAGATATGGTTCCTGCCTTCATGGAGATTACAGGCTTTTGGATTGGGATTACAGCAAATGAAATTCAACTAGAAACACAGCACTGATTATGGCATATACATGACTATCCATGCTGAAAATGTCAAAATATGGATGTCACTGGGTTGAAAGAGAAATGCTTCCCACAGTGAAATAACTAATTGCAAATAGAAGGTATTCTATAAGAATACAGATAATCTTTACACATGAAACTGAATTTGTCATTTTTTAATTCAACATCTTTCAATCCCTGGTTACGTAAATATGTTGTCTATCCAAAAGAAACCAAGTTTGTTGTTCTATCCTCTCTCCTTTGCAAAGAAAATCATCATTTTTGGGGGCAGGTAATGTGCTCATTGCTGGGAAATGAATAATAATCAGTTTTAAGCCACTCATGCTAATTTCATCCCCCCATATTTGTATCACTCTAAGTATGGGAATATGACCCAGTTCTGCGTCACAACACGTAAAGGGAACTCTCCTGTGCAACTTTCAGGGAATCCTTCACACTTCTTCACATTTCCTTAAAAGCTATTGGGTAAGGATCTGACACTTGGTGCTACCAGAAATATTTGCACGAGGCGACAAGTTTTGAGTGGAAAAGACAATGCACTGAGGACGCCAGAGCAGACCTAGGTCCTGGCTGACCTTGCTGAGCTGCTGCACTGCCTAGGGCTGCCTACCTACAAACTTCTACACGGATAATTCCATCACGGTATTGCTTATACAACTGCATGTTACGTATTCTGTTATTTGCAGCCAAATATATTTTAAATGATATACCTGGTAGATTTTGTTTTCAAACCACGAACGAGACCTTGCCTAGCAAATATCAAGATGTCCCCCTAATTACTGGAACATTTTAAATATTTAAGGAGCTGAATCCGAAGAATGTTCCAGAAGCATTCCAGGTTTGAGATATCCCTTGTCATGAATGCCGACATTATTTTACTTAAGCCTAACACTGGGGAACATGGAATGGTAGGGGGCCAGACAGAAAAGAGAGTGATGGTGATGTATGTACAGAAATCATACAGGGGAAAAAGATTAAATGGAAAGGAATTGGATATAGTAGCAGAGGTGGCACCTAAACATTAACTACATTTCTGGAAATAGAAATGAGAATCTCTACAATTCAATCAGATCAAGATAAAACAGTTATGCTGTAATGTTGGGGACGATGAGAAAAAAAGAAAGCAGGAGGGAGTTAAAGTGCTCACAAAACAAACCCTGACTCATTTCAATAGAGTTTCAAATAAGCCCCAGTTTGACAAAGACCTAAAGTTGCGAAATCACCCCACAAAACACATCCTAGGGATGTGTGGATTCAATTACTGAGCAAGAGACCACCAGCAGCAAAGATGTTATTTGCGGAATTTCAATGCAAAGCAAATGTACAGATGTTGGCATAAAAGCTGAACTGTCTGAAATGGAATTGAAGATAGAAATCCAGGGAGAAGATTAGAAGAGATAAAGAATTAAACATGCAACAAAAGAGACATTACATGCATGGCATTGAGCTTGGACAGCCAATGCCTCGTGACACTCAGATACTAGTAATAATGACACATATGGGCTAAAAAATGGGAGAGGGTAGTGAATAAACAAATACTATATTAAAATCACTATCTCTGTGGGCAGGCAGTAAAAATCATATCATTCTCATTGAAAAATAATTCATTAAACTGCACCCCAGCAGGATACAAAGAACAACACACGGCATACCAAGATAGTGAGCAGCAGGGGGCAATAAACTTTATAAAAACTATTAAAGCATGCACCAAAGCAAGATAATACAAGGAGGAAACAATGGAAATGTCAGGTCAATTTATAAAATAATCATGTTAATACATTAAGTGCAAACACTTTATGAAAAACACACAGGCTTATCAAGTTAAAATTCACACTCTGCAAAACCACCCTTGAGATGTTAAAGCTGACCTGCTGCAGAGCAGAGAAATAAAAGCCAGCAGGTTGCCATGTGGAAAGGCTGGGCCAGAGGAGCTTCACACCAGGTAACCTATCCAAATGGCATAATTGCTTGCAGGTATCTGAGACATTGCTCCAGGAACAGATGCAAAGGTGAACTGCAAACAGGACCACACACATTCTGTGGCCACCGATGTATGGGCACACTTAACAGCTTTACACTGGTAGGTTTAAGCAGTTTTGCCTCTGACACCCTTGTCTCCCATATTCCTGGGCAGTATAACAAGCAGTTCTATTTGAAGAACTGTTCCTGGGCAATTCACAGCTTATGATCACCTCAACACACAGAGGGCTTCCACAAGCTCTTTCTCCAAACTGTTTTTCTTCTGTCCTACAACCCCTTTGTGTCTCCATGAATTTCCCTCCCTTAAAAATAATTTATTTGCGATATGTTAGACCCAATATTTCTGTCAGGACACGTGGAAGACACTGAAAGTGAGAAAAAGGTTGGGGATTAGACCAAGGAAGAGAGGAAATAGGAAAATCTTGTCTCCCAGGGCATCGTGATGAGGTACGGAATGGCATACAAGACAGTAACAAACCAGAAACGACGACTGAAATTTTAAAAAAGGACTTCAAAGATAAACTATGCTTAAGAGAACCTTACTTAGAATGATTCTGAAGTGGCCAAAATTAAACTAATGACAAGTGCTTTCAATGAACCCTTCTAATCTCTCCAAAATTATTTCTTACCTTTTATGGACCTAACTGTGCTACATGGAATCTTTCTCAAACCAACACAAGATGCAGAGCAACATAGACAGAACCCAAGACAAGAAGCTACAGAGATCAGTGTAGCCAATCAACACCTGTCAGATGACAGCCTAAAAGTACAGGTATCACTGCATTTCCTAATCAAAAACGCATTCACCCAATAAGCCTGTGAGGAACCAGCCCTTCCCATTTATACCCAGATCGCCCCACTCTGCCATCCCCACTTCCCTCCCGCATCCCTTTCCCTCTCCCTCTCCCTCTCTGTAATTTACAAGGACACTAGTCCATAGCACGACAAATGGCCTACACAGTTTGGTTTAAAAAAATAAAAAATAAAATAAAAAAATAAAATTTTTCCATAAAGTCATGTCCAGGACTTTAAGCTTTCTATTTCTGTTCTTACAGAACAAAAAAGAAATAACGTTAGGTAAATTTTGTTTTAAAATTCCTGCTGGGTTGAGACTTTAGATTTCAGGCTGGAAAGAATTTTTATGGCCAAGTTATAAACACCCAAAACTCAGCAGGTACCACTAAAATGTATAGTTTTGAGATGGCGTGTGGCTTCCCTAATTTCAGAAGTTGATCTAGTTGAAGATAATTTGTTTTTAAAACTGTCAAACTATCAAAGCCACTACATTCCCTTTCACTAGCTTATAAAGATTAATTGGAAGTAACACATGCATGCAATTTACAGGCCAAAGAAAATTTTCCCTGTTGAAGTAGAGTTTGGCACAGTTCAACTATGTATTACATACTACACATGAAAAGTGAGATCAAAGCAACCAAGAAATAAAATATCTTGGAACATCTGTATATTTGTTTGTTCTTTTTTGTGTTTGTTTGTTTTAGTATAAGGTGACAGTGGTATGGTATGGCTCTTTCACTAAAAGACACAATAATTTTTACGTAAGATCACAAGAATAAAACTGTTTCCTTTTTGCTCTATTTTTAGATTTCTTTCGCAAGCACCTTGAACTAACAGTCTAAAGATTATTCGGATAATTGATATAAGGAATACTATCTAGGAAAACTGTATCTGTAGAAACAACCCATTAGCATGTCAAAGTAGAATTTTACAGAGCTGATCGGGGAAGGCTGTGTTTTAGGATGAAAAATTTAGAACTTTCAGAAAACTCTCATCATTTTCACCATAACAATGTATTTGGGTACTTTCATGTTTTATCATTTAACCTATAAATAATATTCAAGTGGTAGTGGGCAGTGTTAATAACTAATAAATTAACAAAATATAAAATGGTTACACAAAATTAAAGGAAATTTTGTCTTTTTGAGACGGAGTCTCCCTCTGTCACCCAGGCTGGAGTGCAGTGGCACGATCTCGGCTCACTGCAACCTCTGCCTCCCAGGTTCAAGAGATTCTCCTGCTTCAGCCTCCCAGGTAGTTGGGATTACAGGCGCCCACCACCACACCCGGCTAATTTTTGTATTTTTAGTAGAGACAGGGTTTCGCCATGTTGGTCAGGCTGGTCTCAAACTCCTGACCTCAGGTGATCCACCTGCCTCGGCCTCCCGAAGTGCTGGGATTACAGGCATGAGCCACTATGCCTAGCCAGGAAAAAATATTGATACTTAAGAAGAAACTGAACAAATCTTATATATAAAAACCAAAAACTATTCTGATATAAGCTCACTCTGTGTAATAAGCTATGAATAAAACAACTATATGTTTCCTTATTCAAAAAATGGAAACCATAGGTATCACCAATAGGAATAAAAAAACTAAAAATGCCAAAACCAAACCAGTCCAACCATCAGATGGAAAGAAAATAGTTAAACTTGTTGTCTCTGCCTCACATGGTTTTATGACTTTAAATTTTACACACTGATATCCTGGATACTGTTAATTTAAATATCCCAATATATTATATTTTATGTGTCATATATTACACATAAAGTCTTAAACATACACTCATATAGACATTAGATTTTCTTAAAACATGGATTTAAGGCCAAATCTAAACAAAGAACTGAAATGCTACTTTGATGGGAATCCTATCCATTAGGAATTTCTAAAGACAAACACCACTTGATTTTTTTTCTCCAAATTAGACCTCAACTGTCATGCTGATTATTTATTTATGTCATTTGACAGGACTAAAATCAGCCTGTCTCCAAATTTTGCAGCCATCCATACTTTTTCTAATAAGAACTAATTTTACAAGGTCCTTTCTGGCCAAGAAACTTTCAACCACTATAAACTAGTCAGACACAATACAAGATGATTAGACCAGAGTATATAGACTATGTAGCATAAACTGCCAGTTAAACATTATGGCATGCTTCATTTTAATCATGTAGCTTTCATCTTTTTTGAACACCCTTTTAGCATCTCTTGAAAAAAGAGGCTTTGAAAAAGCTGAGCTACTGCTAAACACTGTAAGCTGATGCTGCTGTACTGTGCTTTGCCCACTGCTTCCCCACCCCCAGGAAAATAAAACAGATCACCCCCAGAACTTTAAGGTCCTATAATTGTCATCTTAAATGAGACAGCACAACTCTCTTCAGTTGAAAGGTCAATTTGAATCAGGGTTGAAATGCAATCATGTGCTATATTTAGATTTATCATTATTATAATAACATTTAGCGTAACAATAATAAATAAATGGCAGGCTAACAGAAAACTTTATGGCATGTATTATTACACATTAATTACGGGGTTAATTTCTGTTAGGCCAAACACAAATACAATTAAAACAAAATTCGACGTTACTGAAAAATTATTACTCACAAAATATAATATGGCACAAAATCCCAGTAAGCAAAATAACTTTGGTGAGTTCCTTGAAGATGCTTGCAATAATGAGTTATGTTATTATTAACAGAAATAAGAGAAGATGTATGAGCTTCAGAATATGTGATTTTTCAGAAAGCCTAATGCAAATTCCTAAATTTTGCCTATTAATGACCATACTGTTTGTAAAGAATTTTTGTTTGAGTATGGGATGTCTTCTGCAATTAGAGCTTTTTCAATTCCCTAATAAAATGTATAATGGCAAACAAATTTGAATTAAAAGTCTTTTAAAGATTAATTTTATTTAAGATGCATTAAATAGTATGTTCTCATAACCATAAAATGTTAAAACACAGAATGGTCTTTAATAATGCAGTATAAGAATTATCTTACTACGCAGATAGAAAAAAGAAAAAAGGTTCAGAGCAGTCAAGAGATGTGCCAAAAGTCAAACAGCTAGCTAGCAACTAAATTTCAGGTCTTCTGACTTTCAGGCCAATATGCCTTTCATTTCTTCCTTGGAAAAAGAAAAGAAAAGGAAAAGATTTGAGAGACAAATGTGCCGTAATCAACTGCAAGTTATGATAGTATACCAAAACACACCTAAAAGAGTTAGTAACATTACAGACACAAAGCAACAACGATCTCTATGGATTTGGAACCACTGAGATCTTGGCTAAGACTTAAAAAGAACTCTCCAGTATTCCCCCATAAATGTTTTTATAATTGTTAACACAAAAATTAGATTCAGCACAATTCTTAGGAAGAAAGCAAAGAGGCTTAGACAGAAGATTATCATTAAAATATTCAGAAATAAAATTTATATCTAAGAAGCCAACTCACACAACAGGTGTGATTCCCCTTTTGCCTTGAAGCTACATCAAAAGTTATCCAGTTTGCTCTTTGAAGAGCTCTTTCTTCAGCACTGTACTAGAGGTTCTAACCAATGTAATAAGGCAAGAAAAAGACATTGAAGCTATAGAGATTAAAAATGAATTAGTAAAATATTTATTCACAGATAACATGCTCCTATACATTAAAAAAAACCTAAGAAATCTACAAAAAAAAATTCCTAGAAATAATCCACAAGTTAGTTACACAAGGTTTCAGGACAAAAGATCAGTATACAAGAATCAACTGTATTTCAATATACTAGCAAATATTTGAAAATTAAATTCTATTCACAATGATCATCAAAATGAATAAACTGATAAGTAATAAATTTAGCAAACAAAAGTACAAGACCTGTGTGTACACTGACACAAAACATTGCTGATAAATATTTTTAAAGATTTAAATAAATAAGAGATATGCCATGTTCACAGGTTGAGAGACTCAGTATTCAAACAGCAAATATGCTCAAACTGATCTATAGATTCAGTGGAATTTCTATAAAAATTCCAGCAGGAATTTTTATAGAAACTAACAAATTTATCCTAAACTTTGTATGAAAATACAAATAATCTAGAATAGTGAAAGCAATTTTTAAAAAGAACAAAGTCATAGGACTTACACTACCTGATTTTAAAATGTACTATAAAGGTACAGAAATCAAGACAAAGTGGTATTGGCATATGTGTCTACATATGTCAATAGAACAAGAGAGAGTTCAGAAACAAAACCTCATGTGTATAGTCAATTGATATGCAACAGAGGTGTCAAGGCTACTCAATAGAAAAAAGATGATCTTTCCAACAATGTTTCTGGAACAATTGGATACATGTATGTCAAAAGTATAAATAAACAAACATGGACATTTGAGTAAATTTTGGGCATATCATGAGCAAAAATTAATTCAAAATGGATCATGGACCTAAACTGAAGAGCTAAAACTGTAAAATTCTGAAACAAAACATAAAATTGTTTTGACTTCATATTATGCAAAGATTTCTCTGATATGACACCTGAAGTATGATCCATAAAAGAAATAAATGACAAAATAGACCTCATTAAAATTAAAACCTCTGTTCTTCAAAAAACACCTTTGAGAAAATGAAAACACAAGCCACAGACTGGGGAAAATATTTGCTAATCATATATCTGACAAAAGATTTGAGTCCATAGTATATACAGGCCTTTGGTAATTGAATAAGACAAAGACAAACAACCCAATAAAAAATGGGCAAAATATTTGAATAGAATTTCTCCAAAGAAGATATAAGGAAGGCTAATAAGTACCTGAAAAGATGGTCCACAGTATCAGTCATTAACAAAATTTTGGTAGGCAGAATTCTAAGATGGCTTCCAAGATTCTCACTCTCTGGAGTACAGATCATGTACATCTCCTCTTTTTGAGTGTAGGCAATATTTGTGAATAGGATGGGATTTTACTCCCAGGATTAGGTTAAATAATGTGGCAAGGGTGAAGAGATTTTGCAGATGTGATTAAGGTCCCTAATCAGTTGACTTTGAGTTAATCAAAAAGGAAATCATCCTTGGCAGGTGTCCTAATCAGGTAAGCCCTTTAAAAAAGGGTCCAAGTATTTCCTGAAAGAGAATAAAAGTGAGAAGGATTCTTTTGCAACCAACCAGGTGGTGAACTTCCTCTGGAAGGAGCCACAAGGCAAGGACCCCTCTAGGGTGGCCTGTAGAAGCTAAGAGCAGTCCCTAGCTGATAGCCAAAAAGAAAATGGAGACTTCTGTCCTACAAAATCAAGGAATTGATTTCTGTCAACAACCAGTGAGCCTGGAGGAGGAACTCCTCAAATGAGACTGCAGTCCCATGCAAGTTTAATTTCAGCCCAGTGAGACCCTGTACAGAGACCCTAGTTAACCTATAATCAGATTCCTAACCCATGGAAACTGTGAATAAAAAGAATGTTGTTTTAAGCTGCTATGTTTGTGGTAATTTGTTACACAGCAACAGAAAAACTAATAGAAAATACAAATTAAAACCATAATGAGATAACAGTACACATGAAATAGAATGGCTATAATAAAAGACAAAAAACCTGGAACCCTCACACATTGCTGGTGAGAATGTAAAATGGTCTGATCTGATGACTTTAGAAAGTTTTGCATTTTCTTTAAAAATTAAACATGCGTTTACCACACAGCTCAGCAATTTCACTACTAGAAATCTATTCAAGAGTAACAGAAACACATTTTTCACACAAAGATTTCTACATGAATGTTTACAGCAGTATTATTCAAAATAACCCAAAACAGAAACAATCCAAATGTCCAACAACTGGTAAATAAATAAACAAAACATGGTACATCCATTCAATGAAATACTTCTCAGCAATAATAAGAGGAACAAACTATGGACTGTAGTATGCTATAAGGGGCATATTATAAGATTACTAACAGCCAGAAGGTCCACTCAAACGTCCAAGATTACTAACAGCCAAAAGGCCCACTCAAACGTCCCGCAAGGCCTAAACTATGTGTCACTTAGCAGTATGATGCAAACTGGCCTGGGAACTTCCAACCCTGACCAGGGGATTAATGGGTCTTTATGAAAACAGAACCTAAAAGCTCTCCTTGCCCTGGAGGGAGACAAGGCCACTTCGGAACAGATGCAACTTTCAGGAACCTTAAAGCTTATCTTACAAGAATAGTTTAAATTCTCTTACAAACAAAATGCCTGACATCTGACTCAGACTCAATATGGGTATAAAAGCAGGGAGAATCCCCCAAACTCTGAGAAGAGTTACTACCAAGAGACACTCTCAGTCAGGCAGTCATTTGACCCCTGAATGTACCTAGCCCATGCCATTTTAAACCTGATCCTGCAGTCCATCACTATAAGAATAAACTGCCTGGATCAAATGGTAAATCTACTTTTAGTTCTTTAAGGACTCTCCCACTTCTAGGTATCTACCCAGAGGAAAAGAAGTCTTTATACAAAAAAGATAGTTGAACATGCATAAGTTTACAGCAGCACAATTTGCAATTGCAAAAACATGGAACCAGCCCAAGTGCCCATCAATCAACAATAGGATAAAGAAAATGTGATACACACACACACACACACACACACACACGCACACACACACAATGGAATACCACTAAGCCATAGCAAGAAACAAAATAATGGCATTCATTGCAACCTGGATGGAATTTGAGACTGTTATTCTAAGTGAAGTAACTCAGAAATGGAAAACCAAACATCACATATTCTCACTCACATGCGGCAGCTAAGCTATGAGGATGCAAAGACATAAGAATGATACATTGAACTGTGGGGAAAGGTTGGGGGATGGCGAGGGATAAAATACTACACTTTGGATAAAGTATACGCTGCTCAAGCAATGGGTGTACCAAAATCTCAAAAACCAATACTAACCAAACACAACTGGTTCCCCAAAATTCTACTGAAATAAAAAAAATTAAAATTAAAATTTTGTAAAAAGAATAAACTGCCTGAACATCAGATGGTGCCTAAGACTCATCTTTGACTCGAATCAGACTGAAGGTGAAAGATGTCCCTGGGGAACCTGGTTAAATAAGACTACTGGAGACCCCCAACATGCAGACATATAAAATAACTTGAATTAACCCCCACAACACTACGCTAAGTAAAAGCAGTCAAGCACAGAAGACTACATCTTATAAGATTACACTTACATGAATTTTCTAGAAAAGGCAGAACTACAGAGAAATGCAAAGTAGATTGCTGTTTGCCTGGGATTGTGGTTGGGGGCAGGGATTGACTGCAGGTAGGCATGAAGGAACTTTATATGATGATGGAAGTGTTTTAAAAGCTGGATTGTGGTGATGGTCGCATAACTATAAATTTACTAAAAATTTTCTAACCATACACTTATAATCAGTGAATTGCACAGTATATAAAATATACTTCAACAAAGCTCTTAAAAGTGAAAAAAGAGGTCATAATAAAACACTATTATAAATATGAACATAACAGTAGGATGTTTGTACTGTGCTAATAATAAGACAAAGTGAACCTGCCATACTGACTTTCTATTTCCAAATATTCACATGTCAAACATTGACTCAATGGCAAGTCAACTTTTCAACACTTTATTCATATTCAACATTAAGAATTTATTTTATAATCTACCTAAGATTTCTCTCTTCCATTTACATGATACTTTGATTCAAAATTTTCCAGGGGAGAATTTTGACACATATCCTATCTAAAAGAGGAAAATTATAGTCAAATGAGGCCACATCTCCTTCAAAACTCCTTTACTTATGACTTTTCTGATTTCTTCCAAATTGCTTCAA
Organism: Homo sapiens; assembly: GCF_000001405.40. Lineage (NCBI taxonomy): Eukaryota > Metazoa > Chordata > Mammalia > Primates > Hominidae > Homo > Homo sapiens. Next base: position 33,333,836 of record NC_000014.9, on the reverse strand, counting down.
TAAAATGGACTTGAAGCCATGCCAGTGTTTATAAGTGGGAATTAGTTAGAAGTGATACAGATTTAGTTATGTCACATCTAGAGTATTCTACTCAAGTAACTTTTATTGAGTATGTTATATATTTTTCAATCAACTTCTTAACTGTTTGGAGGCTTTACTTAATAATGAAATGAAACCAATCCACCCAAATGAGCACACTCTCTCAAGGATTCTTCCATACTAAATGCAATGGACTCCCAGGAAAAAAAAGTCTGGGTATGAGTCTCAGTTTTCTCATTTAAACTTGTTAGACAACCTCAGGATAAGTCAAAATACTGCTCTGAGCCCTAGTTTCCATATTTGTAAAATGAAATTAAAAATAATACTTGACCTACTTACTTCATAAGGTTTGCATGTGAACTAAATATAACAATATAGGTAAAAGTGCTTTATAAATTAAAGTAGTATATAAAAATCAGCTCTTTAGAAAGAGCAAAAGAAAAGTATCATGAAAATGTTAAACATCTGTTTGCTAATTCCAGGGCAACTGCACAATTTTCTTCTTTATCAAAGCATATAGTAGACACATAAATCCATAAAATTATTTCAAGGCACTCAGAACACTTCATATGTATCATCTCATTTATGTTCAAAATTTCGATGTGAAAACTACTGTTTGCACTTCAAATAGTGAAACTGGTTAAAAAGAAAAGTTAAATGACCAGTCTCAGCAACATGAAATACCCACCAATGCCCCATTCTGTTTTCTGTCTTCAACCAGGACTGCAGATGCTCTGACTATTGTATGCATATTGCAGCCACAGGTGGCAGCCCAAATCTGTACATTTTGCTGCATTCTGTATTATTTGCTCAGTAATTGAAGGAGAATTGCATTCTTCTTCTTTCCTTTGTTGTCTTTACAGACAAAGTATCTAATTGTTAGGGAAAGCAATGAAATGCCAATAAATATATTGGCATAACCTTGCAGGTCATTATAAAGGATTTTTTGTTGTTATTTCTGAGAAAGAAGCTGCATAGTTCAGGAGCCAGTTAGACCAACCCGTGTTTGCTTGGCACCTGGGTCCTAGTGAAACAATTCAACTGACTTGTAAACAGGCATGATGCCATCCAGCCATATGGGTGCACATAGATGCTGCCAAGTGACCATGTAGAAAAATCGGAAGCGTTTGTTGAGGGCAGCAGTCCCAGTATGAGACATCCAAACAGCTGTCTACCCTGAGATTCATACGCCTGTGGTTAAGGGGACGTGACATGGTTAATCTACGTTGGATTAATTTTAAAACATAAAAATCAGCTTCCCTGGCCCCAAATGATCAGTTGTGTACATGGTTGAAACATCTAACACACTGTCCTCTATGTATTTGCCTTTCTTCCCCTAAAACTCATGAAGTATTTCTATTTAATGGCTTTCCAAGGTGTCTAACTACATTCCATGATACTGATCAAATATTTGAAAAGAAAAATAGTCTTCATAAATCCTGGTAGCCTACATCCTTAATCTGAATTTTTTAGAAATACGGCCATATTTATCTTTGTAAAGATAAGTATCATTATGGAGAGATGCCGGCAAACTTATTTTAGTTAAGAGGTCAAGCCAAGCAACTGAACCACACTAAGAAATTTAGTGAGCGAAAGAAATAAAATCGCTTTGGGAATTTTACTACCGTAATAATTTTGTTTACATTTAAAGTTTGGAGTACCCAGAACCTTGTATTACCTTAAATGGGGAGGCTTGCTCCCTGAAAGTTTTATGTAGAACCATCAAAGATTTTATTTACATATTCAGTCTAAAAAACGTAGGCTAAAAAATTTTCAGCAGCAAGCACTGCAAAGGAAATTAGACAAGTAGGTGTTTTCCCCAGGTTTCTAAAGGTATCATTACGATGAGCATTTCGTCTTGGCATAGTATCACTATAGGTCAGGGAATCCGATATAAACACACTTCCAAGAGCACACATATGGACAGACAAGTTAACTTATTCTACAGCGTGGCCCTGGGCCTTACGTAAGAATATTTTACTCATCTAAAATGCAGATGTAACCAAGAAAACTGTGAAAAGTCTCTCTGAAGAGTCAAAAATGATGTCATCATGTTCAAATATTTTATTCATAGAGAAGCCCTTTTGTCCTCTGTCAGATTTTGTTTATGCTTAGCTTATATATTGTTCCAACAAACCTAGGTGTCCCAGCTGAAAGCATATCTGAAGCAGCGAATTAAAGAGGAGTCCCAGAAACAGTAATAGCACCGAGGAGTTATAGCTGACAGTAAGGGGGAATAGAAAAAAGCGGTGGGGGGAGATAAACAACAGGAAAAAAAAGCCCTCAAAAGGCACTATAATCTAGGCCAATTTGGTATATAGTCAAAGCTGTTCTCATAGTCCAATGGTCCCTAAGGATATCACACCATATTATTTTCATGGTAATGAAACGCATACATAATGATGCTGCTAAGTCATAAAGAAAAGGCTCAATTATCTTCCACACAAAAAATTCTTTCCAAAATGATTTAAATAAAAAAGAAAAAGTTTGGTGATTAAAGAAGCGGCCCCCCTTTATCCAAAATAATTTCCTTTAAGTTCCAGATAGTTGAAGTTTTCTTGCACATGTATTATATTCACATGCATAAATTACGAACAACTTTATAGCCTTAAAAATGTCTCGGTACTGATGAGATCTTACCCTGATAAGATGATTCCTGATTTACAAGCTTGAATTTCAAGAGTTACGATGCAGCATATAAAACGTTATTATAAATCGCAGCTCACTGCTATCCTAAGTACTATACCAGTTTGAGGAATGTTTTATCTCCTTCACACTAAATCACCCAAGTGTAAATAGTTTAAATTTTGGCAACTTTTGTTTCCTCTTTTCCACCTCAACCTTTAAAATATATGCCTTCATTAGAATGCATTCCTCCTTCACACCAGCAAATAATTATTCTTTATAAATAAGTAAAACATCTCTTTAAGGCTAGGTCACTGCTCAATGGAAATTATAAATTGCAAGCTTCTCTCTTTGTCCTCACAAACAAATAAATCCAAGAAAAACAGACTCTTTGAATTAATGCTTTCCATAAAAATCTAGTCCCTGACCCTCCAAAGTGAATGTTAAGTGACTATCAATTTATCTGCCGGCCTCTGAGAAGGCCTCTGGAATAGACGTCCAATAACTATAAAAATGCACCTATGGAGACAGAAAAGTAATTTTTAGTCTTATTTTATACTTTCAGATATTTAGTACACAGTGAATAGAGTTAGCCTTCTAAATAATTATATTGCAAATTTAAGAAATTATGAACTTAAAGAGTGTACTGAACTCTAACGAGATCATTAATATGGCCTCCCAAGTGTTTATTATGTGCCTGGCATTACACCTGCTGCTTGACGTTATCTCACTTAATCCTCACAACAGCTCTGTAAGAGTGACTTGCCCAAGGTCCCACAGGAAGTGCACTAAAATGAATCTGGAGATCATTCATTTGGAGAACACAAATGTTTTTAAGAACCAACAAATTTAAAGGGGAGGGGGAAGAGGTAGAGTAAGCATATTCGTGCAGTGTTTTTTGTTGTTGTTGTTATTGTGGTTGTTGTTTTTGAGATGGTGTCTCACTCTGTCACCCAGGCTGGAGTGCAGTGGCGTGATCTTGGCTCACTGCAGCTTCTGCCTCCCAGGTTCAGGTGATTCTCCCTCCTTGGCCTCTCGAATAGCTGGGACTACAGACACGCACCACCACACCTGGCTAATTTCTGCATTTTTAGTAGAGCTGGGGTTTTGCCATGTTGGCCAGGCTGGTCTCGAACTCCTGACAAGTGATCTGCCTACCTTGGCCTCCCAAAGTCCAGGCAGTGTGTTTTTTATTTATTCAGGTAAATATTTATTTTTCCTAATATGTGTCAAAGCATTTACGAGGGATGATAAAAGACTGCTCATTGCTACAGAACAGTAATACACATTAATGTAACACTTACTATGTTCCAGGCATTGTTTTAAGCACTTCTCTCTCTCTCTCTCACACACACACACACTCCACTTTTAATCCTCAAAACAAGCTTATGAAAAGGGCTTACTTACTAAAAGTTTATTATGATTCTGTACTTAGAACAAGGGCTTCTCCATCGTACTTAGCATAGAACCCAACTCCCACCCTGTCCTAGAAGGGTGAAGGATCATGCCCCTGCCTACCCCATCGTGCCCCTGCCTACCCCACCAACCTCCTCTGAGACTATCCTCTCACTTCCTACTCTCAAACCACACTGGTTCCTTTTTCTTTCAATTCTCCTGGAAGACACCAAGTTAGTTTTCACCTGAGAATTTCTGTGTTTGCTGCTTCCCCTCGGCTGCTTTGTCTCCAGACTTCTTGTGGCTGGCTCCTTCTGCTCCTCAATCCAAACGCCAACCCAGAGAGGCTTTCACTGCCACCCAGTCAAAAGTAGCACATCTGTCCCTAGTAGGTTACCTCCATCACAACAGCACAGGCTTCATTTCTTCATCGTACTTATCACTACCCCAAGTCATGCTGGTAGCGCAGTTGCTTGTTCGCTGCTGTCTGTTCCTCCCACCCCACTCCAGCTACATGAAAGCCAGGGAGCAGGGAGAGGCAGGTGGGGTGGGGCTGGGGGCAGGGTGGTCTTGTTTACCCACAACAGGGCTTGCCATGCAGCATATGCTCAACAACTATCTGCTCTGCGAATGGATGTCCATTCCATAAGGCAAGTAGCAAAACATCATACCTGAGCTATCAATTTAGGGAGTTTTGATGGTAACATTTACCTGAGTGATAAGGAATGTCCAGACAGCAGTAAAATTAATGCCAAAAAAAATAGAGAAAAAAGTCCTTACATGTTAGGAACTTAAATAATATGCTACTAAAAATATCTTGAGTTACATATTAAATCAAATAAGATATCTCAAACAATTCTGAGAGGAGTAACGTTGGAAAAACTCTATGTTAAAATTTGTGGGACACCACTAAAGCCATAAAGCGAAATATATATCTATAAATACAAATTTCAGGAAACACAGAAGTTAAAGGAGTAAGTATTCATCTCAAGAATTCAGGAAAGTCACAATTGGGAAAACCCAAAGGAACGGAAAAGGTAGAAAATAAAGGTAAACCCTTTGGGAGGCCAAAGCGGGAGGATCACGTGGTCAGGAGGTGGAGACCATCCTGGCTAACACAGTGAAACCCCGTCTCTCCTAAAAATACAAAAAATTAGCCGGGCGTGGTGGCGGGCGCCTGTAATCCCAACTACTGAGGCAGGAGAATCGCTTGAACCAGGAAGGCAGAGGTTGCAGTGAGCCAAGATCGCGCCACTGCACTCCAGCCTGGGTGACAGAGCGAGACTCTGTCTCAAAAAAAAAAAAAAAAAAAAAAAAAAAAAAAAAAAAAAGAAAAGAAAAGGAAAAGAAAGATAAAAACATCAATAAATAAAATAGAGAAAAAACAGGAAAAACAAATAAAATTATTTTAATAAAGTGAACAAATAAGAATACGAAGATAAGCCTAACCTCAATAAGAAAACATAATTAAAAAGATACAAATATTATTTAAGAAAAGAAAAAGTAATAACCACAGCCACAAAAGAAGCTCTATACCTGAGAGGAACCATGCTCGGATCCCTTGGGGCCCAGCTCAGGCAATTTCATCCCACAGTTTCCAACATAAAATGATATCTCAACATCACTATTAAAAAATAAGTTTTTTTCCACTAAACTTCTTAAAATGAGCTTTTTATGCCCATTACACTTTTCAAATACATCCATCATGATTATTTCCAGTGCCAATAGAATTGCTGAGTATTTGGAAAACATAAAATAATGGAGAAGAAATTTAAAAGCTGCTATAATCCCAGAGATGGTTTTACAATGTGGCTAGAGATATAAAACCAAAACAACTGGCAGAAAAAAAGAAACCTGATTACTGGTGGACTCATAATTATACTAATAAAACAATGGGTGGTATCTTTTTGAAATGCACTGATTAATTATTTTGTCTTGATTTCTCACTATTCCTCTTCATGCACTCTCCGGTCCAGCCAACTGCAGTAACTTTATGTTTCCTTAACATGCATGGTGTTTTAATGCTTCCATTTCTTTTACTCATCTAATTTTTTTCTGCCTGCAATAACAGCCCTCTCATCTCTACCTGTTCAAATTTTACTCCTGTCTATGAAGAAACTTCCCCTTATTTCCTAGTTGGAAATAATATCTCTCTTCTTAGAATCCTTCTAGACTGCCTGTGCCTCTGCTGTGGCATTTACAGAACCATAATGTAATATATCTTTTCTTGCATGATTGTTTTCTGAATATATGCTTTAAGTTTCCTGCACCATATCCCAGAGGAACAGACCACTTCCTGTGTATCTTTGTTTTCTTCACAACATCTAACCTAGCATCAGAATTTGTATTTAAGTAATTTGTATTTAAGCCAGGTATTTAAGTAATACAAGCTCTGAGGCTCAGTTTCCTCGTATAGAATGCTGGAGCTAAAACAATTCTTACTTCCTCGTGTTGAGATTAAATAAGATCACGTACATACAACTTTTAGCACAGCGTGTCGTACATAGCATGCACTCAATATGACAGTGCATTCAGTAAGTGGTGAATAAAATAATATCTAACATTGAATGAGGAAAGGTACAGAAGCCTTTCAAACATTTGAGTAATTAAATAATCAAAACCAGCTGTTAGCAAGCTATATCTATATTAACAATTTTGCCAAATTGCAGCAATTCTAAAATGCTATCAATGTTTAAATGTCATCAATTTACTATCAGCTTGCCCAGAAAAAAAGAAACACTATCATATTAAATATATACATCAATTACAACACATATTTACAATTTCAGAGACATTTTGAATTACAGAAATGCAGGCATTTCCATGCCATGTCCCTCTCTTGTCTTGTAACTCATCAACCCTTTGCACATACATCCCCACTATTCTGAGAATAACAGTGAATGTCCACCACCGCCTTGTCATGTATACCTGCTACCGACATTTCTTTGCAAGCTCAGTATCTCTGGAAATTTCTGGAACCTGTGGTCTGTCTTTGCCATTGTATCAGAAACAAACTCTTGTGGTGGTGCAAGAGATCATATTTCCCATTGCCCACGTCTCTTGGGCATTCTTCCTGTTCATTTTCCTTTCCAGTGCCACAGCTTTTCAAAGTTTTGACCACTTCTCTCTAAATTATACTCTTACTGTATTGATACTTACATTGGCAGTTAGATTTTCACGTTCTATAATTTGCAAACTGTTTCTGCATATAATAATCCATTTTATTGTCACACATGCACAAAAAGCTTGGGAGATTTAAAAAGTAAACGAAAACAAGCTTTATTGGTCCCCATTTCTCAGATAAGGAGATGGAGGCCCTAGAAAGACTTTCTAACTTGCCGAAGTTGACAGAGCTAAAGTATAAAAATAGCCAGGTGTTCTGACTCCAAATACGATGCTTTTGTTTTTAAAATTTGGTTCCACCTGTTCTCTATTTCTTTCTGCATTCTCTGTTTCCTTCACTGACTTCAACTCCCTTCTGAAGCCATAATTGTTAATGCTTATAATACTTTGTCTCTCTGCTTTTTTCCCTTTCACTATAGCTTTAGGCTTTAAATATAATCTCTACATGGATGAGCCCTGTCTCTGTCCTGCACTGCGGCTCATTGTTTCTCACTCTCTCTTCCCATTCATACACTGTATGATGGTGTACACACCATCACCTTAAATTAAGGTATCATCACCTTAAATTAATAAAATTTACTCATTGGGGGGAAAAAGCAAATTCTAAAAAACAAAACAACTGTCTTATTTTCTAACCACCATAACAAATAAAACAGAAGTTTCCATCCTATTCTTGAGTACCCTAATTATTTAAGGAAACTCTTTTCTCCATTCTTGATCAAACACTTTAAAGAACACTAATATAACTATACTTTGGTAACTGAAAGTCTCAAGTAAAAAATAACTTCAAAATATTTGAAAAGGTGATCTTTTGCCATCAGATTGGCTTATCATAGAAGGATGGTTACCAGAGGCTGGAAAGTGTAGTGAGGAGCTGGGGGCAGAAATAGGGATGGTTAATGGGTACCAAAAAAAAAAAAACCCAGATAGAATGAATAAGACTTATTATTAGATAACACAACAGGGTGACTATAGTCAATAATAACTTAACTGTACTTTTTTTTTTTTTTTTTTTGAGACGGAGTCTCACCCTGTCACCCAGGCTGAGGGCACGATCTTGACTCACTGCAACCTCCACCTCCTGGGTTTCAAGTGATTCTCCTGCCTTGGCCTCCTGTGTAGCTGGGATTACAAGCACCCACCACCACAACCAGCTAATTTTTATATTTTTAGTAGAGACAGGGTTTCACCATGTTGGCCAGGCTGGCCTCGAAATCCTGACTTCAAGTGATCCACCCACCTCGGTCTCCCAAAGTATTGATTGGGATTACAGGCGTGAGCCACTGTGCCCAGCCAATTGTACATTTTAAAATAACTCAAAGAGTGTAGTTGGATTGTTTGTAACACAAATGATAAATGCTTGAGAGGACAGATACCCCATTTTCCATGACGTGATTCTTTCACACTGCACGCCTATATCAAAATATCTCATGAACCCCATAAATATACACATGGACTATGTGCCCACAAAAATTAAAAATTAATTTTTTAAAAAAAAAATTGGTTCATCAAACCCTCCCAAGCTGATCTGGTGTTCATTCCTTACCTAGCCGCTATCCACATACCAGTATATAGTTGAAAGTGACAAATTATTTAACTACAGATGACTGTACCCGGTGGGCATGGCCACCCAGAGTATACCAGGTAAATATCATCCCTGTTCATGCTAATATAACTAACACGGCACAACCCCAAAAGACAACTTTAGAACTAAACAAACAATAACAGTGATGAGCTGTAACATCCAGGGCTTTGAAAATCATGGACACGTAACATATTTTGAATTTTTAAAAGAATTCTACACTGAGAATCTGTATTATTCTCAATCATTACTCTAAATACGATGGTAACAAGCACACACACACACAAAAACAAGTATTCAGGAGTTCTCAAAATTCTGGGAAGCATCAAAGAAGGACACCAAAAGAGCCATATATACTACTCCATAAAACTTTTAATTCAAATTTTGCTGTAGCTATAATTAACTATCAAAAGTAAAGAAACAGAAATCTCTATTATTTTCTATCGCTATGAAATCTTACAGCATAAAACAAAATTTTAGTGACAACACAATCCCTGTAGATAATCAAAAGATTTTCGCAGTAATAAAACAGGTTAGCTTGCAAAACGGTTCTGCGTTTGGTTCATCATATGATACTATTTAGGGTATATAATCCTGAAAGGGCAATCCGATAATCACACTAGAAGCAATTTTGTACAATACTAGTGCTGAAAAGTCAATTTAACTTTCCAGCTTTATAAGACTTTGTTATTGCTATTGTTAATTATTTCTCATTTAATGGGAAATTGGCAAGAAGGTCCCCGACTGTCATTTTAAATCTGCAGTAATATCATGTGAAGCTTTTCGTCCTTATTCCCAAGTCCTGGATTATCAGAGTTAAATGGCAGATCCGGCGTTACAAAAGCTCAGGGGCAGGCACTGTTACACAAATTGCCAATTCAATTAACAGTGTGCAAATGCTCCACTGGCAGACTGCAGGAAGGACAGCCATTTTGGCAACTGTCATTCCTAATTTATCAAACTGTCAAACCTTCCACTCAGGTGCCTGCGGTCACTGTCTGCTTCTTAATGCTACGTTGTAAAAGCTGCAGGAACCATTCTCGTAGCTTGACAAGGCACAATACTCAAAACTGATTTTAAAATCAAATGTACAGTTGTCTTAATTATTCTCAGTATAAATGATGTTTTAATTACAAAAAACAGAGTGGGAATATTATATCAGGAATGGATACTAGGTTCACAGAGGAAGAAGATAGCAGGCTACCTGCCTGTCTTGAGAAGTGAAAGAGGCAGAATAATTTATACCAGAATGATTTATTAAGCTATAGCAATTTTTAATTTTACTAAATGATGGCGTAAGCCTTTTTCCTCTAAATTTATACAGCATTACTTCTTAATGCAAATTGAATGGTAAACTTTTCTCCCTATAGTTGTTCCCATGCTTTTGAAATCATCATGAGGAGTGTTACAGCAAGTGACACTTGTATTCTAAGAGTCCTTTTCCACCACACCCTTCACCTTGATTCTAAGTGTCCTCATTTACATAATTCCTCATACATTGATGCCCCATTAAAATTTTATAAGAAACATAACATACAAAGTTGTTACCATCTTCCACGTATTCACTAGTTCAACTGTTTACTGAACATTGTGATCAGTGCCAAAGAGAGTAGAGGTAAAAAGTTGTTTGGAATGACTGATTGGAATATCTCAGCAAAAATTTTTCTCTGCTACTTATTTGACATTCTTAATAGTCAACAACCATTACTCAGAGAATATTAAGAAGACATCCAACAAAGAGGAAAGAGATTATTTTCATTATAAAATTGTTTCTTTGTCCACAACATTACTGAACACTCTGTAAAGTCAAGAGAAGAGGTGTGAGGGGTGTAAATAAAATATGTAGACAAAGGAGACAACAGCTCATAGTCTATTAGGCTATCCCAGAGGGGCCTTTGGGTGAATAGTCTTGGCGACCCTGATGTGCTGTAAAGCATTCTTTCAACAAATAATTATTGAGTACCTATATGTGCCAGGTGCTACTGTAAGCCAGGCAAACTTAAATGAGTTACACATGGCCCCTTTCTTTGAGGAGCTATGTCTTAGTAGAGAGAAGTGATGGTGACCTATGAAAGAGAGGAAAGGAACTTAATTTATAGGCAGAACTTCTAGTACTAGGTAGTAGCATTTTCTGATTAGGTAAGTCAGAAAAATCTCTGATGATTTTTATCAAGAGGGTCAGATATACAAATAGGCAGAAAGTACCTATATCTCCATGGTCAGAGTAGAATGCCACCTAAGGGGAAGGATGTCCTACACCAAAACACCTCTTCTATAACCTGAAATTTCACGATTACCAAGTCATTCCTTTGGATCTATCCGTCTTTGGGTTTTTGGTTCACCTACTGTAGTTTTATCTATCAATTATTATGAGCTCAGAAAAACTTTTAGTTAGAAACGAGATGAAAACAGGGAGAGAGCTCAGGACTATAAAAACAGAAATTTAAAAAAATAAACATTTAGCAAAACGGCAAGGATGAGGGAACGTCAATGACAAAAAGACTTCTTTAAAATTTTGCTTAAAACAATGTTTACCTTCACACACACACACACATACACACACACAAATGTGTATGTATGTAACACACATATATACACAGAGGACACACACACCCGTACTTATACAAAAAAATTAGCAAAAACGTAATTGCTCAGGAATGCAAAAGTAGATCTGAATACCAGTCTTATAATTTGGCAGCCAGTTTATAGATTAAAAAATACAATTAAACCTTCTACAATTCTATTACCATGACACATCAACCTGGGCAGATGCCTTTAACCAAGGGATACTGACGGAGGCAATGGGAATCAGAAACATTTCACAGCATCAAACCCTGCTGGCACTCCAATTCACTGAAGAGCATCTTGATTTTATCACTGCCAGTAATTTTCATCAGTCTTGGTCCAATTTGATCAATAAACCTTTAGCTAAGTGTCTACCATATTCATGGCACTACACTAGGGAGCTGCTATGGAGGCACAAAGGTCCTTGTGCTCAGAGGGCTTATATTTCTACTGCTCTGCAAAGCAAACCCATCTCTGGCAGCACAGGCCCCTTCCCTTCTCACAAAACCCGACTGGCTCATTCAGTCCTGCAGATTTGTCAGCTGCCTGTGGAATGCCTGCCACCTCTTATCTGTCTAAATCCTTTCTGTTTCTCAAGGCTACTCACAGAATTTTTGTTTGTGAGACTAGTAACAAAGTTGATTTTTGCCTGTGTCTTAAGAACTTTCCAGTTACTGGACAATATCATCTATATATTTGCCTTGTGTTACATAAAAACACCTAAATAAAATAATAATAGGAATAGTGACTTATATTAGAGACTTACATATTGAGCACCTACTTTGTGCTCAATATGTGCATTAACCCACCACCACACACAAAAACGCTGGGATGATCTTTAACTCCATTTTACAGTTGAGGAACTGAGGCTAAGACCTACCAAGTCATCTGTTCAAGGTGACTCAGCTAGGAAGCGGCAAAGCCAAGGGTGAGGCAGTTTGGCTCCAAATCCCATGCTGTCTTTCTGCTGTGTTATTATGCCTACGGACATCATGTATATTAACCCCCAAATTTCCCCAAGCAGAATATAAGGGCCACATTGTTCTACTCTTATTCATAATGGGACTGGAGAATAACGATAGAGATATGCCTTACCCAGGTTATTTCAGGAGTTACTGAAAAAGCCAAAAAGATAACCTGGAACACCCTACTTCCCATTGTTTCCCAGCCCATAGTATCTCTTGAGGATAAATTCCATCTTATTTTGAATCCTATTCTGTACTGGTCAACTCTAGAGTATCTACAAATCTGTACAATCTTGCCTTGAAGTTATTTTGAACTAATTAAGCAGAATGGGCTCTAATCATTGGTTGATATTCCTTGCTATCTATTATTTACTTTTATTCCCCCATGAAGACTGATGTCTGGTAGGAAGTCTTTTATACTAAAATTTCATTACCTCTTCCACCCTAGGGGAGGTGTGCAAAGCCCTGATAACAAAATAAATACATGAAGGTTAAAGAAACTCATCTTAGTGTGGTGCTTTGCATCATTCTGAGAAGCAATGTTCTCTGCAGTTTGTAGGACAAGGAAAGCATGCAGCGTGGAGGCACCAGCTGGAGAGGCTGGAGGATGTTCTAGCCTGTCTTGAACTCAATCCTTCAAACTGTCATCTCCTAATTTTTTTTGAGGTGTATACATCTAACCATCTATCCCACCACTAAACAATGAATTAACAAAATGGTAGTCAATCAGCAAATACATGCCTTACTTTCCCAGAAATAAATGAAATTAATTTCCCTACTTATGTATGGAAGTTAGTCTTACCAAATGACATCTGCTTCATGCATGTATTGAACATGCACTGAATGTGCTTCCCTCTGCCATGTCAGGTGCTGTGGGTGACACAGGTGTAAACATCATGGTTCCTGTCCTCACTCAGCATGCCATCTATCTGGGGAGCCAAATCACATCCTGTGTCCACATTCTCCTTTTTGCCTCAGACATGAGCATGTCGGAGGAGATGCTCACGACCTGAACAAGAGCAATGACTGTTCAACCAGTCTGTATTTCTGGTCTCTCTGATACCTTGTTACCAGAGCAATCTTTCTTTTTTAAAAATTTTTTTTATTATACTTTAAGTTCTAGGGTACACGTGCACAACGTGCAGATTTGTTACATATGTATACATGTGCCATGTTGGAATCCTTCTAAGAACAACCCTGATCTTCCCCCAAATCAAAAACATTCTAAGTTTCTTCACTGATTACTGAATAGAAATGTATCCTCTCAAGGCTGTCATTCCAAGCCAGATTGTCAGCCCTCTCTCTTACTCTCCCTTTACAGGAACCATGCTCCAGCTACACTAGACAACTCTCTTACCTAAGCACATAGTGTTCTTCTTTCACCCCAAATGATGTTCATGCCATTCCCTTTCTGCAAAGTGCTCTTCTACCAACCAACATTATACCCTTTCTTTGATGGCTTCTCCAACCCCAATTCCTCTACAAACTCCTTCCCGATTGACCAGGAACACTGGGAAGGAATCTCTCTTTCCCTTAAACTCCACCCTTCTTTAGTTATACTTCCCATAAGGAATTGGTCATAGTTTGGCTTTGATTCATTCAGTCAGAGGACATTTCTTGAATACCTACCACGTGCCATGAACTTGTAACACAAGGATGAAAAATAAACATGTTCACAAAAAGTTCATAATGTATCTGGAGAGGCAGATGTGCAAAAAACTGATAAGTCAATGTGACAAGTGCTCTGTGTGAGGTTTCTCAACCTTGGCCCTGTTGGCATTTGGAGCTTTGCGGGAGGTTGTCCTGTGCATCAGGTAAAGAGGAAACAGCACAAAGAAAAGTGAACTTAGGGTTGGACTCCTCCACTCTGTACACTTTAGATTGACAGATTTTTTTTTCCAACCCCATAGAGCCTCGGCTACTGAACCAGTAAAATAGAATCATAACTTATTTACTCTAGAATTCTTTTTGTTAAGGAGAAGTAACCAGCACAGTGCCTCACATAGGTCCTTCATACATGCCACTTTCCTTCTTCCCTTCTGTCATTGCACTGAACTTTCTTTGAAGGCAGGGGCTGTCTCTTACTCGCCATTATACAATTTATATGATATCATTTGATAGATCAGACAGCATTTTAATTGTAGTTTTAAATATCTGGCGGTCTAAGGATGGCTGTAAATTATTTGTTGCTTCTCCCATCATGAGGTAGAGTCTATTTGCCTTCCCTTGGTTCCAAGGCTGGCCTTGTGACTTGCTCTGACCAACAGAAAGGGGCAGAAGTGACACTGTGTTAGCTCCTGCCTAGCCTTTAAATGGCCAGGTAACTTTTGCTTTTGCTCTGGTGAAAGCCAGCTACCACATAAGAAGTCTCACCACCCAGAGACCTCTATTATGAAAAAGACCAAACTATCCAACTAGAGAGGCCATGTGCAGGAAGATCTACACACTCAACTGACAAGCCCAGCCCATGTGCCAGGTGAATGCTGTCACACAATCTCAGGTAAGACTAACAGGAAAACTCTCCGGCCAATCTGCATACCATGAACAATATTAAATCACTGTTAACTGAAGAGACGTATTTTGGGGTCCCTTGTTATGCAGCATGAGATAACTAAAATTAATGTGCACAGTACAATTGGAAGATATAACTGTACGGATTCTAAGGAGTAGTTATTTACGTTAAAAAAGTGAAGGTAGTAGGAATTAGAATAGTCAGAAAATGTCTTGGAAGATTTAAGTTGTAACTTGAAGGATATCATTTGGTCAATATCATTTGGTTAATTTAACTATTAAGGATGTAATTATTTTTGTCCATTATGACTATACATTTCCCCAACTTTAATTAAAAATTTCAGAAGTATAATAAAGTGAAAATAATATTGTAGTAAATATCCATATACCTTCTACCTTGATTCAGCAATTATTATCATTTGGCACTAGCTGCTTAGTCTAAAAATATAAGCATGAACACATACACACATTTTTGGATAATAATGGAAGGTAAATTATAAACATAATGACATTTTTAAAAAATTGTGGTAAAATAGGTATAAATGAAATTTACCATCTTAACTGTTTTTAAGTGTATGGTTCAGTAATGTTAAGTAAACTCACATCATTGTGAACCAGTCTCCAGAACTCTTTTCGTGTTGCAAAGCTAAACTCTATACACTTTAAATGACAATTCCCCATTCCTCGCTACCCTCAGTTCCTGGCAACCACTATTCTACTTTCTATCTCTATAAATCTGACTACTCTAAGTCCCTTATACAGACAAAATCATATAGTACTTGTCTTTTGTGACTGGCTTGTTTCATTTAGCATAATGTCCTCAAAGTTCACAGACGTTGTAGCATGTGTCAGAATTTCCTTCCTTTTTAAGGCTGAATAATATTCCCTTGTACGTATATACCCCTTTTTTAAAATTCTATTCATCTGTCAATGAATATCTGGGTTGTTGTCACCATTTGGCTAATGTGAATAATGCTGTTATAAGGACGGTTTTGCAAACATCTCTTCAAGACCCTGCTTTTGATTCTTTTGGCTACATTCCCAGAAGTGGAGTTGCTCGATCATGGATCATATAAAAATACATCATGAAATTTTACCCCTGCACTTCAACATGCATGATTTAAGAATGATGGTATTCTCCTGCATAAATATTTCCTTTTATTTGTTAAGGTTCATATTACGGTAGCTGTTAGCTGATGCCTTGGTGTATTAGTCCATTCTCATGCTGCTAATAAAGACACACCCAAGACTGGGTAATTCATAAAGGAAAGAGGTTTAATTGACTCACAGTTTAGCATGGCTGGGGCGGTCTCAGGAAACCTATAATCATGGCCGAAGGGGAAGCAAATACATCCTTCTTCACACAGTGGCAGGAAGGAGAAGTGCCAAGCAAAAGGGGAAAAGCCCCTCAAGAAACCATCAGATCTCATGAGAACTCACTATCACGAGAACAGCATGGAAGTAACCACCTCCACAATTCAACTACCTCTCACCAGGTCCCTCCCACAACATGGGAGGATTATGGGAAGTACAGTTCAAGGTGAAATTTGGGTGTGGACACAGCCAAACCATATCATTTGGGCTTGCATTCTAGCCCTTCCATTCACTGGTTGTTGGCTTCAAACAAGCTACTTAGCCTTGGTAAGCCTTGGTTTACTCATCTGTAAAGTGGGATAATAAGAATGCCTACTTCATAGAGTTGGGATCACTAGAAGAAAACAGTACCACGAAAGCACTCAGTATAGTGCCTAATAGAGGGTATATGTGCTCTGAACATGTGCTGTGATGAAATACTTCTGCCATGGAAAAGCTAATGTTATTCAATCATTAATAGCACTGAAGAGTTATTTACTATACTTTCACTTATCATTTCAGCTGTTCTTAAAAGGGAAAGCTAGGCTCCCCATTATTATGTTTTCTTTTTCACTGTAACCTGTTTGGCTTCCTTAAATCCTTCAGCAAGCTAGTATTCTTTTCTTCCCTCTCACTCCTATTAGACACTGAAGTCAAATCTGAAGGAGCATGCTTTACGAAATTACAGAATTTTAGAAGGAACTTTAGAAGTGATCTATTAAAACTTCCTTTTCCACTTATTTCCCATACTTTGCTTGAATAACCACATTACAGCTCAGTCCTTTACAATTCTGAGGTCTTGGTATGACTGCTCTTCCTTAGATTGAGTTAATACCTGCCATTCTGGCTCACTCCTGGGGGTACTAAAGAGGGGATTCCTGTTTTAGATTGGAGAGCACACAACTGGCCTCTAACATCCCTTTTAGCTCTAAGAGTACATGACATGCTTTCTTTATGCTAACACATGCACAAGAGGGCCTGCAACTTTTTTCTAGTGGTAGTTAAGATAGGGTGTGCCTCTCCTCATGATACTCAATGGTCCAGATAAGAATATAACAAGGGCTTGTCTAATGTAAAAGAGATTAATTTTATTAGTCAACACTGAGGCTAATATAGTAACAGAAATTAGTATAGATTTCCATGCCTAGAGCCAAAGGAAATTATTTAGGGCTTAGAAGTAATATCTCAAGAGGTACAATCTGAACTCATGATAAATCTGCAGGGCCTGTGTCTCTCTGAGTCTGCAGGATGCCACGTAACTTCTCCAGTACTGTGATCTTCTTGCACAGCCAAACTGAGGTAATGCTAGAAAGAGAAATCTATGTATTGCTGCTCACGTATTTTCCACTTCCAAGGTGATATCTATTTCAGCAGAGAATTCAATACAGAAGCCCACGCGTGATTTTAAAAAAATCTGTTGACTTCATTCATATCAAACCTGTTATGCAAACTTTGAACTGCTAAGATTTGAGGCACAATTTTGCAATTAAGGTAACTGATATGTATTAACAGAAATGCTCAGTGAGCTCCATTTTCTCTGAGATAATTCTGGGAATCGTTAATTCTACTTAAAAGACAAAATGGAGAAAAATTTAAGCTTTAATGTATAAAAGATAATTTCTCACAGGAACATGCTCTATAAAACTGCAAAAGGAAGTTACAATTTTCACTTTTTTGAGACACTGTTGCTCCACATACCTTGAGTTATAAACGAATAAACCAGGCACTGTCACCAACTAGGATCCTAGCCAGTTCTGGCACAAAAACTGCTCTTGTGTCATAGTTGGGAAACTTGAGACTAATACGTCTCATGCACATCTTTCACTTCTGGAGTTCTCAACAAAATTCAAAATGCAACCCCTCTGGTCTCCTTTTACTCTCATTCATTTATGGATCTCTACTCCTCACCCCAGCCTACCTTACCCCCATAGCTTTTCCCACTGATGAATCTTCCTCTAACATCCATTCCCCTGAAGATGAACTCTCTCCATCCTCAACCTCCTCCCAGAACATATACTGTATCTCTTACCCTAACTAAAGCCTCTCTCTCTCCCTGTTCACCTATAGTACTCTGCATCTCTTACAATCCTGCTAAATGGAGGTTACTTATTTCTCTCACTGCTACCCTCCCAACCACACACACATACACACACACAAACACACTCCCCCCCCGACACACTCTTCTAATCTCATGCAAAACGTCCTCCCTTGGCGCACACATGCCTGCTATATTACTCTCTCACCTGCTTACCATCTAACATTCCCACCATATTTTAATGACCTCATTCTCAAGTTTGGTATCAAGGAAACACAATAAAGAATCTATTACTCAGAAACCTACAACTAATACATATTATCTACTGAATACAATTTCAAAATTTTGGCAAACAAAGATCTTTATTCACACATAGTTTTGTATTTTGTCTTAAAAATACTTAATATTTCCCATAAATTCCAGATAAACATTTGTTTGCTGGCTCCCTGAGACAACCCACCAGCGTGGCTTTTCATAGATGTCATTTTCCTTACCTATCTGACAATAGCTTCAATTATTTCCTCCAAGAAGCATCCTCACATCAGCTCACTGCCCACTCTCATCTCTGTTTTTCTCTATACCCCTACAGTATTTACACAGATAATTATTAATCATGCCATGTTGCCCTTTGATGATATGAACTTATTATTTAGCTCTTTCACTGAATACTGTTTGCTACAAGCACATTATAAACCTCATGAAAGCATGGACTTTGGTTTCTATTTTTTATCAGTCTTTAACAAATATTAGCCAGCCAGTAGAAACCACAAAATTAAGATTAATGCATGGAAATATTACTCTTTATTCTTTTTTAAAAGAGAGGCTTTCTTTCAACACAAATTAGGATTGAGTCAGTGAGCAAACCAGGCCAAATTTTGCTAATGGTTAGATAGTAAAGGTAGAAGGTTCCCTTCCTATTCAAATTGTCGTGAAACTGGAGGTCCAGGTGTTTCTGGAATCCATTCAATATGTTTTTAATATCCTGATGCAGACTTACCATTCATTATATGGATCGATAATATTCTATATTTAGATGATAATCTATTATCCAATTAGAGTATTTTTTCCCATGTATTCAGAGGCCAACTGAAAAGAGTAATTTTAAATAATCACCACCACCACCACCGTGTATTGATCCTCACCATGTGTCAGGTCCTTCATATATGTTATCTCTAATTCTTATCCCAACTTTATAGACACTACTATCCTCATTTCACAGTGGAGCCAACTGAAGGTCAAATACTTTAGCTAAGTCACTCAAGGTCACATACCTAGTCTGTGTAGCTCCTATGAAAGCTAGTGTTTTAACTGTTCTATGTGATTTGAAAATCTTGTTATTTCTACGGTGGAAAAATAAAGTTAATTAGTAATTAACAAATTCTGGAAGAAAATTACAATAAATATTTATAACAAAAATGGGTATAGCCTGTATCTAATTGTTACCAAGTTAATATTTTATTTTGGACAAACCCTTTGGATTGATCTAAAATTCTACCTATTATCACTTAACAATCTAAGCTAGATATTTATTTACAAAGTGGTCTATTAGGTTCAATCAAATAACACCATCACCATACATAATATCTTGAAACCCAAAGAAAATTTTTAAAAGGCAGAAAACATCCAAATAACATAAATCAACAGGAAGAAAAATGCCATACCTAGGCTATGTACATTGGAAATATTGCCTCTGCAGACCTTGAATAGAGTTCAATGAATTATGCATAACATTTGAAAGGTAAAAGAGAAACAAAGCTTAAAAAAACACTTAGCAGTGTGACCAAAAGGGATGCTTAAATAAAAATATGTCACGATTATAGAGATTGCTATTTTCGAAATCCCAAAGTGAACATGATTCTCTGGTATGATACTTCCGGTAACCAATCATTACTTAAGTAACAATCCCCAAAGTTTGATACGGTAGAGTGATTCAAGTTTAAAGTTCTGATAATTTAAAGTAATTACGAGGATAATATCAAATAATTTCAATTGGCCTCTTAGCCGCAAATACCTATTGCTGTCACAGCTACTGATGGAATGGACACTGAATTTTTGTTATAACACTATAACAATTTTATATTCACAGGACCTTAAAGAGTGCCTACAGCAAAGACTTTTGCACTTCAGTAACTAGCACTGCCTGGATGAGGAGCAGGATAGACATTTCATTTACAAATTCCACCACTGGGAATTGTACTACAGCGAGGTGCCTTGGTAGTTGGTATCTAAATACTTATTCTGACTGGTTTCTCTCTTAGAGGATCACTTTAGATGGCACTGTGATTCAATAAACCGCTGGGATACAGCATTAACTCTCAGTGTGTCAGAACTTGAATATCCATTCATATTACAATCAGGGGATTCAAATGATAGATTGTTTCTGGATCAGAGTTTCTCCAGTCAAGAATATTTTTATCTGATGAGAATGACTATTTTGACTTTGAGATATAAAACCCATAGAGATACTAATTCAAATACATTTAATCTGATCTCCATGCATTCCGACACTTCACTGTTCCATCCTAGCTATTCTTTATAGGGAAAAACTTATTGTACTGCCAAAAACACCCCCTGCCACCTCAAATGACAAGAGCCTTCATGCATTTTCATGAGCTCATTTCAGGACAGGAAAAGCAAGTTCCATAATTCCCAATAAACACTTTAAGACACTAGAATATTCTAAATGGATGCCATAATTAAAGGACCAACCACCAAAATTCTATGTATATATAACGACCAATGATAGGAAATCATAACCTCAAATGTCTATGAGTTAATAAAATTATAAATGGCTTCCCCCTACTCCACTAAAAGTTGTGCCTATATCTACGTATCTCTCTCTAAGGCTTTTGTTTTCTATTTGATTTTGTTTCAGTCATCCTCACAACATCTGAGAAAAATGCTAATTATACCACGTACATTCAAGTACAGAGCTTCACGTCAAAGGCTGGAAAAATCAATAACCACAAGCATAAGGAAAATATACCTGTCAACTTATTCCATAAGTATAATATGCATTAAAGATAATACTAAAGACGTGATCGGTAATTTAAAACTACAAATGATAGCTCTATAGTTAAGACCTTTAAGCAGCATAAATGACAACCCAATGTTGCAACTTTTTAATTCAAATGGTAATTGGAACATAGTGATTTCAAAAAAATAAAATATATTACTCCCGTTGTTACAAGAGCCTACAGGTGTGATTATCTAGCTGAATATTTCACACACTCACACACACACACACAATAAAAATTGTGATTTTTATCAACCAAGCTGTAAGGAAGTGTGAAGAAAGCTGCAAGTCTCATTACAAATGCAACCTGGGGAAGAACATCTAGAAATACATCTTTACAAGTCTAAAGATAACTCGAAGGACCAATGCTTACATACAAAACATAAATAGAAAAAAATACCAGTAGTAGCAATATCCATAGTAAGTAATAATTATAGCAATTATCTTGAGACTGTTCTTATCTAAAAAGACCTTTGGCTGATTTGTTAATAGCTCAATATTCTCTCCTAATGACACCCACGTTATAATGTGACCAGAGCTCTGACTACTGTATGTCAAGTCAACTCACCAAATGCTTTAGTGTTGTTCTAAGGAAAGCTCCCTTTCCAGATCTTTCAAAAATGAAGTCTTTGGAACATAACCTTCCTTGTGATATAGTCCAACCAAACTATTCAACCTTCTCCAAAACATATCATGCCTATTTCCCTCTCCATGCCTTGGCATGCATACCCTTCCTTTCCTCTCTTTCTGATGAACTCCCGTTCATCCTTCAAGATTCATCTCAAAGATTACTTTGGTTGTGCAGTCTTTCCTGTCATTCTCAGGCCAAGTTACACCTTTTGTATCACCCATAGGTATTAATAATCCTTTTCCCGCCTCCACCACCAGACTGAATTCCTGGAAAGCAAGTATTTATTTACTTTTATTATGTCCAAATTTGGTACAGCTCTATGATAAATACTCAGAGTTGGATTGATGGGACGGACTCATGCATGCATGAATTAAGGCTACCTTGTATTGCAATCCATATTCTGACATTCTGGGATTTTGACTTAAAATTATAACAAGATTGCTACTGAATTATCTACCAGCTATATCCAGATGACACAAGTTCAGTAGTATTAAAAGAAAAAAAACCTATTGCACCATGGCATCAATGATTCTGACCAGAAGTTGTAGGATATATAAGTTCAGTGTTGTACTTAATATTCCACAAGGAGAACATAATACTTATGACCACTAATATACCAGAGGAAACTTACACATAAAATGTATTCTTTTATGAATAAGGCCTTTGATTGAATAAAACCATGGTCAATCAATATACAAACAGATGTGGGTGCTCACTGCACTGTTCATATGGTTTTCAGAAAAATTTCTGATTTTTCTATTATTATTTCGAAATACTGAGAGCACTTTGCCAAAGGACAGCTGAGACAGGACGACAAACATCCAGAGAATACCCCAAAAGGCAAGAGGAAAACTCAACAAAAATATTCTGTGACACTCCATATAGCTCAGTAAATTAGCACCTCACTTCATGGAAGGAAAACAAGCATGTTCAAGAGATCCTAGGTCAGTTTTGTGTTTTCACTCTGCAGAACCATACACCACGTGGCACAAACCTAACCTGCCTAGTCTTCATCAGTGAGTTCAAAATCTAATTTAATTGAAGTCTAGAATTAAATAAGAACTAAAAGTGCACAGTGATCCTAAGGTCACAAGCAAAGACCCACAAGAAAGCAGTAACAGACTGTAGTCTTAATACTAAGGTTGTTTTCTCTGAAGTATTTGTGTGTGTGTGTGTGTGTGTGTGTGTGTGTGTGTGTGTGTGTGTACCATACATTTCATTCTACTGAATTTCAGTCAACTCCATGGTACACAACACCATCCGTCTTATTTCATCTTTTTAACAAGGACTTGATGAGGTGACACAGGACTGATTCTTAAAAACACATTACCTGCTATGTGAGGCATTGTGTGACAGAAAGAACTATCTTAGTGACAGGCACCTGACAGCAGATTTGTTGATTTCATGGTCACTTCATTTAAAGTAACAACAGGGTGAAATATGCCATCTGATAATCTGTTTGAATGTTGACTGTGAAAAGCACTTAACATTTCTGCCAGCTACCAAGACTACAGAATCTGTTCTTCAATACGTGAGGGTCTGTCTTGCTCTCTACTCATTTTTGTCAATTCTCTGCCCCCATCCCCTCTTTCCTCACAGGAAATCCCCCAGTAATTTTCTGGAAATAATGTTATGCAGAGAAAATTGGCACCAAGGATAAACAGTTCTCCTTTAAGCTATACTTTTTTTTTTTCAGATGCTATGCATTTTACAGTTTGAGGCTACTAGCTGAGAAAGAGACCTAGGACACTTCTTTAGAAATCCACAGGCTATAAATTAGAAGGATACAAGTCCCTTCTTAAAACATCATTTAGTATCACTAAACTCCAACCAGGGTGGAGACGTGTGTGTACACATGGATGTTGTACCCTTCATTCACTACATGTTAGCTTGAGAAAATAATAAATTCAAGCACCTGAAGGCCATGTTTCTATACATTTTATGGCTACATTTCTTTCTTTCTTCTTACAGTAGTAAAGGTGAAAACAAACTGGATCATACCAACGGTATGAAGACAATGACTCTCCATGCTCACCCAGCCCAACATTCCAGCAGGAAGTATGGGTGCTAGAGGGACCCTCCTCCCTCTGCAGGGCCAGGACTTCTCACGAGGGAAATATGACAACTACTTCCCCCACCTCCATAGCTAGCTGAGCATTCGCCTTTTAACATGCCAGGGGAAGGCAGACTTACAGAAAATAATTGTCACCATGTTAATCACAGTAATAATTTGTTCATATACAGCATTTCACAGTCCATTTTAAAAATTAAGCAATAAACATGGAATCTTCTAAAGGAAATCAGTGGTTACACCTGCCAGAAGAGTCATTCCTTTAAAGTGGTACACCCAGTAGAAAAATCCTACTCCAGGCACAGACAGCCCATTTGGAGAAAAGGTTAATTTCAGGTTGCTTTACAAACTACTCCAAGCTTCTTAGAGATCCAGGAATTATCTGCACCAACTGTCTCCTATCCTAATTGCTTGGAATCACACATCCACTGACAACGCAGCAGAGTCGCACAGCCCACACATTTGAGAGCCTCCTGGACATCAACATGCTTGAAGCTTTTTAAACAGCATTAAATATAAACCAGAAACAGTCCAGTTAAAATGTACACTTTCTCTGAAAGATTTCTGACATATTCAATGCTTGTGAAAGCTGAGGGGCTGACGGCCTAGTCAAATACAGTTGAGTGAGCAGACTGCAAGGCTTCCCACACTCCACCTCCAAGGCAGGTGAACCGTGACATGGAGGGACAAACCTCTCCTGCCTTCTCTTTTCCTTTTTCAGAAAATATAAAAAAGGAAAAGGAGGAAAAACAAACAACTTCCTTCAAACTATTGTTTGATGATTTCTTTGTTTAAATAAACATCTCAATAGAAGCAGGCACTGGTAGCAACTGGATACTCCATGGCTTAATCTAAATCTCTTCTAGTCACTTAATTTTTCACCAAATATCTACTAGTGTGATAGCTGGCTCATCTAAGTTTGTTTTTTCCTTTTAGTATGTTTTTCTTTCGCAAATTTCTCCATCTAAGAAACTACGTCACAGTTCCTAGCACTGTTTACCAAGATATAAAGTGCCAGCTATATATAATAAAAACTTTTTCCTAGAATGCTATCCTTAGCATTATAACTTAAGCACTATTAATACAATTTTATGTCATTGCATTTGTTTATTTAAAATTTTTTTAAAAAGGCTTTTATCCAAAACTTCCCAGTATGTTGTGGTGAACAGTTATTTGTGGTTATTTTAATGAAATGCAAACAGATGAAAGATCAACCGGGAAAATTATTTAAGGAACATACCTCTAAACCAAAAGTGACAAATTTCCAAGTTCTACTAAAAAATAAAATATATATCCCTGAAGGGGTGTGTGTGTGCACAAGTGTGTAGATAGATCATATATATAGATATACATATATATAATGTATGTATGTGTGTGTGTGTGTGTGTGTGTGTATGTATATATATATATATATAAACTATGCAATAGTCCCTTTAGAAAATGTTGGCTATTTTCAAATTTCCAAACTTCAATCACACTCTTCAGAACTGAATACCTGTGAAGCTTCCTGATATTCGGCATTTGGTATAAGCTATTGTGTGAAGCCAAGCTTCATCACTTCCATTTTCTGCCATCTGGACAATATTGAACATGAAATAAAGACCAAAAAGTGTTTGGTTTTGTTGTTGGGGGTGGGGTAAACCCAAGGTATGAAGTTATTCAAACACCAGTAATGTACGGTATGGCACATTCTCACTGTCACAGCCTTTGTTGAAAAGGATTTCCCTGACCTTTCCTGTAAGCAGCAAACAAATAAGCCCTCTTTCTCAGCGGGAGAGAGGCACTGGTCCATTAGATCATTAAGCAGTTCTATTCAGATACCCCCCATTCTCCTGTCCTTGGCCCTGAAGAGGGAACTGGCAGCAGTCCAATCAGTCAGGGAGAAGGCAGGCAAATGTGATTGCGTACAGGATAGCTTGAAATGTTGCAGCGGGACCCAAGTCGCAGAGCAGACAGCAATGAAGGGAGGATGTGGCGCTACATGAGGGGTAGTGTTCCAACAACGGAAGGCTGGTGTTTCAGGCTGCCAAACAACGTAATGACTCACCCAGGCAGGAAAATATTACCACCATGGGGATATTCGGAGCGTCTCAGTCTGAGAGTAATTAGGGACTAAACTACAACAGCATGCTTCAGTGATGAAATGAGAAAATAAGCAATACCTCTGTCAAGTTCTGATTGGAGAATATTAAATGAATATGGGCTTCTATCATCTCCGACCACAAACTAGGAACTTGTAACAGATTGTTGGAATGGAGAACTATTTCCACATTTTCATGAAATAAGTCAGCACACAAACATGCACGCACACGAACACACACACACACACACATTGAAAAAAAACCTGGTGAGGTGAAAAACGTTACAGTTGGCAGGAAGAGTTTTAGGGAAAATCATGATCACAATTATATAATTCATTTCTGTAGCATGCATTTGCTCATCCTGAAGCTTTTTCCACCCCTAATTACACTGTCTGCAAAGGGGGAAAAATGAGTCCAGAATGGCAAATGCTAACAGTATCATTTTATTAATAAGAACGATATACAATCTCCAAAATAAAAAGCACATGTGTTTAATGAATTCAGGTAATGGAATTATTTTACTTATTAGTATCAGTTGCACATATGTAAATTCTCTGGCAAAGAGGACAAATGTTAATTTTTATTTCTTTGAATTTTCAAATTGCAGAAAATTTGTATTCATTAGACAACGCAAAAACCTCTTTTCCCTTATAATTGTAAAGTGACATTATAATTAAATTGGATAACCTCAGTAGCATCTGCAAGTTAAGGAATCACTTACAAGCTGGCTGGACAAAGCCCAGGCACATTAAGCCACCAAACGGAGTTACACCTCAAAAAGCCTTCACTGCAATAGCCAGGTCAGAGCCTTAGTCACACAAAGAAAAAGAGATTATTCAGCCTGGAAGGCCTTAGAAGGTCAGCAGTAAGAAGGTCTTCTCAGAGGAGGCCTCGTTTGCTTCTTCCAGAGTGCTTACTCTGGAACCCGAATAGACACTTGTTTGACTTCCTCCACAAAGACTCTGCTCCCCTTCCCAACCTTCCCTCTCAAATGCATTTTTACGGTGTCAGTTTTGCCAAATCAGAATGAGGGGCAAACACAAATTATCTCTCTTCTCAATATGAACAACCTCCATTAGGCCAGGTTAATAAACTCTAATAGATGTAAGGGCTAATACAATATTCAGCTACTGACATAAACATAAATATAAATTTCAAAGAAAATAACCTACTTTAGTAAAACTACCTGTGCAATACAAATTAATGAACTCCAAATGATTCTGCACATCTCCACCAAATTGCATTTTCAGGCTCACATCTTCAGGACATGCTGGGTGGTTTGATGCATTCCCACAATTCATCTTCCTGCTAAGCCAATTTTAATTTAAATGCAATTAAAGGCTCAAAATGAACATTATGTATTAGATAAAGCCCGAATCTGCAGACTATCAGAAATATGATTTTCAGAAAGATTAATTACAAGCCATTAGGGTACAAGTCATCTTACTGCAAATGTTGAGTTAAATTGCAGAATTAGTTTGTTCGTTCCATTAAATGTTAAATACTGATTTTGAGCTTTGTACCAATTTAATATCACTAGGTCAGTTTATGAGAAAAATGTTATTTATAACTACAACTTCTGAAGTGTCTGAAGATTTCTTACTAATTAAATAATGGGCATTCTTAGAAAGAGATAAAAATAACCTGGAGTTTTTGTCAAATATTAAGAATATTAATTTTCATGTGTTGCTGTTTTATATCGTTATATCATGGATTCACCATTCTTTTTATATACTAGTTTAAATATTTTACTTTTGTTTTGTCCTAACTTAAGAATATGGGGGAAACAGTATACAGTAATTGTGTTTAAATGAAATATAATATATAATGCTGGTCTAAAAAACCAAAAACACCCAACCACTTTCCTACCCTACTCCTAGGTCAGCATACTATAAACAAACCAATAAATCAAACATTTAATGTTTTGCTGGGCCTACACTTGCAAATTCAGAGAATACCAGGCATAGAAGAAGTGGTAAAAGTTTTCTTTAAAATTATAGTGTCAACTTTAACTTTTGGTGGACACATTTTTTCAACAGCAATATGGTTATTTCTGTGTGTCACAATAATATAACTCACTGGTGCAAAGAGTTTGGAGAATCCAGTGAGATTCTGTAACCTTTGGTAGACTATTTAGCCATTCAATTGAAAATATGATGGTGACTTTTTAGAAGGCTACAAAAACCTGGATACAGCTGTAATCAATGTCTTCATTTCCAATTACCAATCTTAAAAATATTCTCAATATACTAGGTATAGTAAATATATAACCAGAAAATACTTACTTGATTTGTTTTAAAAATCAGACATGACTTCTGACTTACAAAAACTCATCAAGTTATTAAGAGCCCCATTCACAGTGAAAATAAAATAGTTTTCAGGTTGAAAATGACACACATCCTCTTTTTCACCCTTTGCAAGGTGAGAATGTCCTATCTAGATGAAAAGTCAGTTGGTTTTATGTTGATTTCCATAGTGGTGTTTCATTAGAAACAGAATTGCCTTAAAGGATTTAGGCGAATTTGGCAGATAAATTATTCTAATTATTTTCTTCTCTGATTAAATATAGCTAACTTAAGAAGCAAAATGACTATTTAAATAATAATCTAGTGAAAAATAATTATATTATTATTTATTTGGAATACAATGATGATTCAAGAAAAATAACAATTCTCTCTCTCTCTCTACTTCATCCATTGGATTAGCCCTAATCCCATACTTTTAAAAAACATACACCTCCTTATCACAGTTTTTTAGCTCTCAAATCCTTCCCTTTCTCCAGGGCAATGTAATTATTTGCCTAGTTATTATTGTCTCTTGTCTACTTCTGCCTCAAGACACACCCACACCAATGCTGGACATTTATAGATAACTATATATGTAATTGGGCTTGGGTAAATGGTAGCTGCTTAGGATATCTGAAATTCTGATTATTACAAATGCGACAGTGAGGATTCCATATTACTCAGAGTCTTCATATATGTAAAACTTATATAATAATTTCACCAACCCTTGGAATATTTGTTAGAACAAATATTTCCAAAAATAGGAAGGTGTTTTTATAGAAAATGAAATAAACATGCATACACAAAATTTTAGAGTATTCATAGCTTGGTTATAGATGCTAGATAAACCTAGCTCATTATACTGTTTAGAAATGAGTATTTTAAGCTAAAATATAAATAGTACCAATATTTTTTCTGAACATATGCTTAGAAAATAATGATAGGGTAAATGTCACATATGTAGCCCTAAGGAAACATATTTTTTCCTTTGTTCTTAATCCAAATTTCTTATGTTTAGAAAATAATGGGGAAAAATATATGGACAGATAAAACTCCAGGCTACTAGATGTTATTCAATCAACCACCTACACCCTACTGTTTCAGCATGTGTGCCATGTTTGATAGACACTAATATAAGAAAATAGGATTGTGTTTGAGGACCAACTTTCTATGAGTAACATTAAGCTGACTTTGTAAAACAAGATTCAAACTAGATAATTTAACTTCTATTTGAAATAGCTTAAAAAGAATTAAAAAGGATAACTGAAATTCACTGTCACAGAGAACTCCAACATCTCACCAAGCATGGACTATTACAAATAGTTCAACTTCAAGTTCCACATTAAATCTTATGAATGGTTTCCAAGAGTTAAATCTGTTAACAGAGCAACTATGGAGGTTTCTCAAGACCTTAAGATGAATCATTAATAAAAATTGGAATTAACACTTGGTAGTGAACCCCGTCTTTACTAAAAATACAAAAAATTGGTCGGGCGTGGTTGCGGGCACCTGTAGTCCCAGCTACTTGGGAGGCTGAGGCAGGAGAATGGCGTGAACCCGGGAGGTGGAGCTTGCAGTGAGCCGAGATGGTGCCACTGCACTCCAGCCTGGGCAACAGAGCGAGACTCCGTCTCAAAACAAAAACAAAAACAAAAACAAAGCTTGGTAGTGAGTTTCTATGTTTCTGTCCTGTAAATCATCATCTCCCACCAACAATCAAACCACAACAAGACAAGTTACTGGAATTTGAGACATCTTATTTTCTTTTTATTCAGCATAACTGCTATTCTCCAATAAACAATATCATGATATACAATAAGATGTTTCACTTCCTTTCTCAAAAGCATCTATCCCTTAATGCTATGAATAGCTACTCTGAGGCAACAAACCTACTTTGAGGTTTTATTTGGTTTTCTATTATTCATAATTTTAGAAGAATCTATCAATCTATGCTTGCTAATAATGAAAAATGGCCATCTTCCATTGTTCCCCAAAAGTTTTGGAAAATCCAGAAAATAACCTAGAAATGAAAGAACTACCATAGAATAACTCTGATTATTTAAACTTGTATATTCATGTTTCTTTACAAATGTAATATTTGCTGGCTGAACTTTGATTTTTTTTTTAGTGTGAATAAGAGTTAGAAATTTACATAGTAAATATTCTATAATAATTGATATTAGTATTTTCAAATGTTATATAGATTTTTTAAAGTAGGTTAAATTTTGAGTAAGTTCTAATTTTCCTCTGTAAATTATAAATCTATAATTGGCTGTCCTTTTACATAATTATCCTAACAATTACCTTAGTACCCACTCTGTTCGAATACACAATCCTATTCACCATTAAAAAGTCACAGGTAACTTCTAGAATGAAGGTTCTAAATTTTACCACACTATTTTCAGGACTGAAAAAAGGAAAAAAATATCTGGCGACAAGTTCCAAAGTACATTTTGTATTAGTTATATATAAAGTCCTGATGGCCAAAAGTCACCAAAAATAAACAGCTTTTCCAAATGGAATAGTTGCGAGAAGCCATTTTTAAAGATGAGAAAGCTGTGACTAAGCTTGATCAAGGCCACAAATGCTAACAGCTTTTTTGGTGCTAATAGAAAATAAAAATATATAGGGGCATTAAAAAAAAAAAAGAGAGAGAGGCTTATAGGCACTTCCTAGCACAACCACATCATCCATAGGACTCTAAAATACAGAGTGTAACTGCTCTATGTGGAAATATGAAATGGGAAACAAAAGAGTGAAAGC
This sequence comes from Homo sapiens, assembly GCF_000001405.40. NCBI lineage: Eukaryota > Metazoa > Chordata > Mammalia > Primates > Hominidae > Homo > Homo sapiens. Next base: position 33,302,796 of record NC_000014.9, on the reverse strand, counting down.
TCAGATATTTCCTTCTAACCACAGATATTTTGAACTAACCAGATCATCACTGTGTAGGAACTAACATCCTCCAGAACTACCACTAGTAGGAGTTATGTAGCGTAACGTAGACTGTGGGAATAAAGCCATCGCTCTGGAAGTTGGCTTGTCTTTTGGGTACTTTGGTCTTATAAAATCTAGGTCAGTCTATGTTTTATTTTATGCCTTTCTAGTGTATTTCCAGCTTTCCTATTCCAAAGCCTAAAAATAATTCTCCATTTCAGTTTCTTTCATCAACGACTTTTCACACTTTGATGCATAGACTAATAATGATGGCTGGATCTCACCGTTTTTTACCCATGTTACAATTCATTTCAATTTTCTTCTGGCCATACTGACCCTTGTTAATTTCTGAATTCTCATCCATCATTTTTTGAGTTTCACTTAGTCCCAGCTGCAGGACTAGGTATGTCATCACTCTTTCAGATCTTAACCTATTCCTTTCAACACTGTGCTCTGAGATTTCTATTTGCTTCAGTGTTCTTACCTATTCTTCCTAATTCCTTAATAATGCCACTGTTAGTAGTAGAAAGAAAATTATATTTTCAAGTCCATCTACATACAAGTTGTTGTATGCAAATCCTCCCTCCCAAATCAAGAACCTATTTCTGTTTATTAATTTGTTCATTAATTTAATCATTATTCATCAATTCATTTATTTATTTAAAAACATTTACTGAGAATCCAGTTAGATGCTGAGATATATTGGTGAATAAAACAGACATAAGCCACCCCTCCGGAGGGGAAGGCAAGCCACGCACGGAGAGGGCACCAGCTTCCAAGTCATGTCAGAAATAGGCCAGTGTTCACTTGGAACAACTACTGTTGGCCTGTTTCTTTTATATTATACGAAAAACATATTTGTAGAGTTATAAGGAAGTTAGTACCTATCATTACACCATGGGAAAACAATGATAAATGTAAAAATACTAAAAATGAACATGGCTACTGATGTATAACGTAAGAAAAATAATTCTCTGTGTGTTACCAGTACCATGGTACTTACAGAATTAGTAGTTTATACTGCTGATTTGCTTTATCCCTGGTATTGTTCTTGTACTTTAAAATATCTGAACATCTGTGCCTATATAAGTATTTTAGTAATGCTACAAAAGCATATACACTTTTTCAGAAACTATCATGTAGTTAAATTCAAATCCAAATGTCATTTTAACATTCCAGTTCGCCAAGAGTACCCACTACGCTTAGCTTTGGGAGGTCTGGTGGAGTACACCACTGAAAAGAAGCTCACAAGACTTCCCACTCTGTCTAACAGGCTAGTAGAATTTGAGTTTTACAAACTTTCTTTTTCTTGACCCACAAACAAGTAACTTTTTCTTCTTTTGAGCAGGAGCTAGAGGCTTGGAGGCCCCTGCTCCAGCCCCAAGCCTTATTTATGAAATAACCCATTACAGCTAGATTTAAAAAAAAAAAATATATATATATATATAATGATAAAACCTAGGTGGGGTTTAGAGGTGGCCTGAATGATATGCAAACTGTGAGGACCTTCAGGAAGCTCAGGCAGCGTCAGGGGGATATGGAAGAAAAGTGGCATAGTACTTCATATGAATCTCATAATATTCCCACAGGTGGATGTTGAGAAGTGGCAGCAGAGGAAGGGTGAACCTTCAGTAGGAGACCTGGATCTGGGAGCTGCTGCTCCAGGGCAGGAGACTGAGAAAAAACATGAGGAGTAGTACCCACCAAGTGCTTGTCAAACCCAAGTCTTGGGCAAGAGAAAATATCAAAGCCACCTGCTATCCCCTCTCTCCAGATCTCTGGTCTGCCTAGAGGCTGGGAGTCCACCTTCCTCTACCTGGCCCTCAATCCTATTTCTAAGCTTGGGCCTGCCTCTGAGGGGTGCTGGGGGACTCAGGTCCCCAATCTGAGCCAGGGCAGCTTAGAGGGGTGTTTGGAGGCTCCTGGCTGGCTTACAGCTGATACGGTCCCTAACAGATGTCTAGTAGCCATGCTCCCCTCCATGGGGGATCCTGGGAGGTGCTCTCTCCAGGCCCCCAACCCCTCCCCTACAAAAGGAGACTCCACCCCTCACCCGCAATGCAGAGCCTCTCCCCTGCTCTATGGCCAGCCCCTGGTCCAGGGAGGTAGGGTAAAGCTAGGTTCTGGGGATGAGAACTCCAGCTCTGCCCACTCCTCCTGTGGGTCCCCTCAGCTTCTCAGAGTCTTCACACTTCATCTGAAGCACAAAGACCCACACTTGCTTTGCAGTGTCACTTTAAAGTGGAGTACACTTTGCATGCTTCAAGCAGCATGCTGCAGAGGTTGGGCTGATGATTTAAGGAATAACTTTTCAATCACAGTAGTTTTGTTAAATCTCAATAGCTAGGCCAATGTTACGTGGTGGTTCATTATAATAGTTAAGCCAATATTATTTGGTCGTTGTTGAAAGCAAGCTGTTTTACTAGCCCAACTTACAAGCATCAAGAGCAATTAAAAGCACAGCTTGCAAACCTCAGACTGTAATACTTAGAGCTAAAACATGATTTTTAATTCTTTCTTAAATGTATTTGGAAACAAGACTTGCATAAATAGCTACCCAAATCAAGCCAACATTTTTCACTTACAGAATACTATCCTAGATATTTTTAAAGAAGCTCAAGTTTCTAATCAAATGTAAACTGAAATCTTTGAACATGTTTTAATCACAAAGAAAGATACTCAAAGCATATTTTAATTAAGATACTGGGAGTGGTCTTGCAGGGTTCCTGAAATAGTGGCAAATCTTGTCATTCTTCAAATTTAAAAGTTAACCTCTGTACTACGGTTTTGAATTATCATGAGGATGACCTGCATATGTAATTAAATCATATCTTTGCATGACCTATAACACATGTGCTTGGTGCTTAGAAAATCACTTTCTATTCAGAAACTACTATATTGAACCTAACTGCTATAATAATTCATTGAATAAGGTCAAATAATGTTCCAAATATTTTTCTAAACCTTAATGTTATTTCACTCCAAAGAAAAAAAAATGCTCTGGAATTCTATATATTTTATCATTGCTTTTTTTCCCCCTTTCCTATTCCTTTGTAGCATCAAACTCTTCTGATTTAAAGAGACAGAGGTTCCAACTCAGCACAAACTTAAGCACAACTAGAATCCTACTGAGCTCAGACTTAAGCACACAAAAAAAAGAAACTAGCTTCTAGGATTTCAGATAGGGTTTTATGCAGGGTTCAAATTCTGTCTGCAAGATCTGGATTCCCTCCATCTCCCAGCTCTTTCTACTTGGTGGGCTTCAAGTCAAGCTCAGGCTCTATGAGGTGGTAAGATGGCTGCCAATACCACCGAAGCTGTGTCTTCTCAGGTTCAGGTCCTGTAGAATAGGGCACGCTTTTCTTCTAACAGCCCCAGCAGAAGACTCAGATGTCCATTGCTAAACCAATCATGATGGCATGGCCAGCGACATCCAGAACTCCACTTGGAAAAACTGAATCGCAAACCCATTCCCATGGAAATAACTCTTCCCTAACCCAGAAGCTAAGATGTGGGCTCAAGGGAAAGACGGTATCTCAGGGGAAAACTACTGACACCATTAGAAGAGTGTTTGAACACTACGTGGCCAAAGTTACATATTCACTTATACCTCAGCTTAACTTTGGTATATAGACATAGATCTATGGCAGCTCCAGAAACTCTATTTGGGGCCTTAAAGGCAAGAATCCATGAGAAGGCGTGCAAATGGACCTGTCACAATGCTACGTTTACCTTGAAATCCCACTTTTTAACTTTAAATTGTGTATTAATTTGTGGTGATTTGGTGGTGATACAGATTATAAAATGAATACAGGCCCCCCAGTCCTTGAAGCAGTCACCATTATAGGATGTGGTTGGGGTTGGCAAATAGGAAAAGAAGGAAGGATTATTTCTGTTCCTGTTTTCCTAATGATTCAAATTCCAGATATTCTGTTTAGTTAAAAGATATGGTCAGATTATAATAATATTTATTGCCTTTGTTATTTACGTGGAAAAGAATGTCAAATATCACTTTTTTATTAAACGAATTTCCCCTTATACATTATCTTCCTAGAATCATTTAAAATAAAGATGACATTACATCTCTGTGCATAGTAGATACCCAAAGACCAAATGGAAAGGGAAAACATATAGGAAAGGATAGACCTTGATAGGAAGAAAGGGGTTAGCAAGAGGTAGAAATAAACATATTTTAGGTCTGAAAATATTGATTTATTCATGTAAATGTAAGCTGGTCATCAAGTTACATAATTTCCAAAGATGATCAGACTTCACAGGCAAAAGTGTCACAAAGAGGAGTCTCTAAAGATTTCCCTGAAACTTAATATTTATCCCAGCACAATCTGAAAGAGCTAACTGGGAAAAAGCAAAGCAAAACTAAACAAAACAAAAAAACACATTTGGGTGTTTTATTGGAAACCACCAAAGACCTTTCACTGCAGGAAGTGCCTCAAAAATCTCTGTTTGTTTTTGAGATGGAGGCTCCCTCTGTCATCCAGGCTGGAGCGCGGTGGTACGATCTTGGCTCACTGCAACCTCCACCTCCTCGGTTCCAGCCATTCTCCTGTCTCAGCCTCCCGAGTAGCTGGGATTACAGGCATGTACCACCATAACTGACTAATTTTTTGTATCTTTAGTAGAGACGGGGTTTCACCATGTTGGCCAGGCTGGTCTCGAACTCCTGACCTCAGGTGATCCACCCACCTCGGCCTCCCAAAGTGCTGGGATTACAGCTGTGCGCCACCGCACCTGGCCTTCAAAAATCTTAATAACCAGTTGCTCTCTGCCTTGCATAGTGTATGATTAAATCTCCAGTATGTGCACCTTTACAAAGCCAGTCCAAAAGGAGGGCAGAGAAGGACTCATCTGAAGCTGCCTGAAAACTTGGAATAGGTGAAGTGATACTCGCTGTGATGTTAAATAACATTTCTCACGCGGTGGCAGCAGCACAAGGCTCCAACACCAGTGAACTAGCGAGCTCAGAAAGGTCCTCTGGCAAGAGTTGGAAATGTCAGCACTCCCATTTCCTCCTAATGAAAGGAAAGGATTCTTTTTACATGCAAGCAGCAGGGATCCTGACAGCAGGACCAAGGAGAACCCAAAATATTTATTTTAGTCTGTTTGGTTTTTTTGTGTGTGTGCATTTATTTTTTATTTTATATTTGCCTATACTAGCAATCAATTTACCAAATATGGCTACTGAGCAACATTTTTAGTGAAATGCATGCTCAGCATCTCCAAGTAAAAAATAACAATAAATGAGAGTAACAGGGAGATACAGCAAGAAAATGAAAGTCTCCCTTTTTTCATTATGGGAACTGAGCACTTTTATTTTGTGATATTCCTTTACTATATTATGAATAATAGTATATATAAATGTTTCCAGATAATTACTATAAATTACATCTACTGGGAGCTTATGATACATTATATAGCATAAATCTAAATGTTTTGTATATATTAAGTTATGCAATACTCACAACAACCCAGAGGTAAAGTTCCTTCTTTTACAGATGAGGAAACTGAGGCAAAGAGAGGTAATTTGCTCAGATAACATTCCCAGTAAATGGCAGAGCTAGGATTAGAACCAGGAAGTCTGCATTTCAAATCGATGTTCTCAACTCATTTATAGGCAGTATCGCTCCATTCTAGTTATGTTTTCAGTTTATGTAAATTCAAAGTCTTTTGATTTTTACATATGTCATCACTAAGTATGCAGAGAGAAAAAAAGGATGAGAAATAGGGTTCTTGAGCATCAAAGGAAAGAAAAGGATGCGATTTATTCTTAAATAAAGTCCAGCACTGCCTGCTGGCTCAAGTACAGACCCTGTTCTTTGTCCCTTAGAGGAACAGAGCTAGGTTAGTTAGCCACAGTCATCAGCTTGAACAGAAAAGACCCTTTTCACCTATAAGTAGCTCCCAGTTTTCTAGTCAGGAAAACAAACATAATTTTACCCGGACTAATAAAATTCTTGACCACAGCTTTGTCATTTCCGTCATCTAAACTGAACACTTCTGCTTCTACGTGAACCAAGAAAAATGGAGTCGAAAAACTTTCTACTCAGAATTCTGTGGCTATCATAGGACACCAAATTTCTATGCAGGCTTTGCAAATCTGGAAGCAGATCTCTGTAATACAGGGAGTCACATCTACATCCAAACATAATTGTGATATAGTGGTGGTTACCAGCTGCACCCCAGGTGCCCTCATCTGTTAGGACTACATTATCTAAGACACACACAACTCTACTGGGCTTAATAGATTTAAATCAATGCCTTGAATTAACACCAGAAAAGAAATGCTGTAAAGACACAGATAGATAGGCATGGAAGAATCTGAACTTACAAAAGAAAACTATAACCTTTTAAGCGAAGTTTTCACTACTGAGTAAGGTGGCCGTGTATGTGTGTTTATTGGGGTAGATGTGTGTACATGTACACATACTGAATGATGTCTATATAAATATATATCTATTAAAAGAGACAATGAAGTAACAACAACATCTTCAATGGAAAAAAAAGTATCTTATAGGAATTAAATTTAACTTTCCAGGAATATTCTTTACATGGCAGAAGGAAAGTCCAACTCATTCTGCTGGTATAGTAGCATCTGAAAAATCAAGGCTAATTCCAAAGTTCTAAGTCACCGCTTGCATTTTTTTTCTGTTTTGTTTCAGGGAAACATTTGGAAGAAACCGAGAGTCTTCGTCTTTCAGTAATTTAAAAGGACAGAATATGTTATGTCTTGTATTGCTTAAGGATTTTAGTATTTGTAAAGCACTGCAGCATACATGATCAAATAATGAGTTAACTTTCTTACATTTATACAGGGGTACCATATTAAAGTCTTAACTTGCTGAAAGAGACAGGTCTTCTAATTCCATCCCATTGTATTCTGACTGTCTGCTTCTTATAAGTGAGCAATACTGTTCATCTCCAAAAGGATATCTTGAACTCTCAGCTAGCAAATAAAACCTTTGTTCTTTTTAGGAGAAATGTTTGAACCGATATAACTCCTTATGGACTCTATAAATACCTCTGCATTAAAATAAAATACATTACATAAGTATCCTAATTAAAATTTGGGAAAAGGATAATCAAATCTCAATTATTCACAGGGAGCGATACTCACTTAGAGCCAATCTATATGCTTTACCTAGGCAAGTGAGCCTACACTTATTCTGTGAAGTTGATGCTGACAGCAATAAGCAGCTCTTCCTTGTGTATAACTACTTGGCTGGTGAATCCTTAACTTGAGGAGTATGATTTGCCTCATTTTTGGAATCTACAGAGTAGTATCTAGAAGGCTGAGGGAAGACAAAGTGGAGCTAGATAGAAATGAAAGCCAGCATGCGGAGTACACAGTGGCAGGCTTTCAGTATCAGAAAAGGACTTTTAAAATGAAGTCTTTTATTAATGTCTCCTTTCAATGGCAGAAATTGAAAACACCAACTTTAGGCCTACCCTTCATCAGTACTTACGGGAGCTGGGAGGTATTTATTCTGTTTTTAGTCATCAGAGCATGACTTTATCGTAGGCTAATTTGGGGACGCTCCATTGTTTTGTGCTACACACTATAATAATCCCTTGGTGTTTTAAATTTGTTTTCGTTTTAAAAATATTATTTTTGCATAGCTACGTTTTGGGATCCCAACAACACACTTGGTTGAAATTCTTTTGTAAATCTTAGCTTGTGATAAATAAAAGTCTATTTTTTCTATAAAATTATCTTTCCCTCCTAGGGTCCTAAAAAGTCACTCTCCAAGAGTTCAAATTTCACTGCAAGATCCCGAACACCACAGCATCACATTGGAAGGCAAGACGCTAAAAGATCTGGCCCCACATTCCTTCCACGTGGCTTCAGCAAAAGCACACCTCATCGGTTCCTTGACCATCTGAGGTCATGCTCATCACTGATATCTGCCAAAGCTCTCTCCCTCACTTTCCAGTTTGGGCACTTGTGATTCCTGTTCATCTTTTAAGGCCCAACATAAATACTCCTTTATTCAATGAATACAGACACCATTAAAATTTGGGAAAAGGATAATCAGGTCTTAATTATTTACGGGTAGTGATGCTTATTTAGATTTTTACTCTAAATAGTTTATTTAAATCATCACGTGATTAAATACATGCTGATCACACAATACTAAGAATATAGAGCCAAGCAAAAACAAATACTATCCCTGATTTCATGGAACTTCCAATCAGTGGAAGAGACTTATTCAACAATGCATCACACTAACAGCTGTATAATTAGAAGAGTTATGAAGGAAGGAATTGAGCCACTGAGAGTGTATAACAAAGCAATAAGACCAAAAATGGAGCATCAAAGAGGCTGCCCTGAGGAACTCACATTTCAGATGAGATGGAAAGTAAGATCCAAAGTAAAATTAGGTCAAAAAAATGAGGCCCTGGGATCGAGCATTCCAGAAAAAGGTAAATATGTCTGTAGGCAGTGGAGAAAAAGAACATGGAGACTTCTAGAAACTGAAAGAAGACCAATGTGGGTGAAGAATAGAGAGAAAGCAAAAGCTAGGGAGGCAGTCCAAGGGAAGACCATGGCTTCAAGGTAATACGTCTAGGCTATAGCTTAAATGCAATGAGAAACCTCTCCAACCCTTTCCATAGACCATCCCAGCTACCCAGGCAGGCAGCAAGCTTTCCCTCCTCAGTTGCACAAAATTTGTGTTTTTCTCATGGTACCATCTTATTCAGCCTTGTCCTGTGATTATTTGTGTGCACTTCCTCTTACATATCTTGCCTTACTTAGCACCTGCACAGCAGGTTGCCTACACTATTTAATAAATGTTGTCTTGCTGCATTAATGATCCATATACCAGTGGCCAAAGATTCTTTTACCCTGAGCCATCCAATTACTGACAAATGTCTGTTTATTTTCTTAGATTACCTTAATACTCTGGCTAATTAATTCTAAACTCTTCACTATTGCTGGAAGTAAAATTAGTATTATTTTGACCTCTTGAACTTCACCATAACACAAAATATGGCACTGTAGTTTTTGGAATTTTGTATATCTCTTTTCAGTTAATTACTAACCTTTTACAATCATAAGATCCTTTCCTCCACCCTTTTCAAGTTAACATGTCTACCGTTCATGAGAAGTCTTCCCTTTACATCTATTACTCAGCGTTGTATTAGGCTTTCCACCATATTATTGAATATCTCTTCTTAAAAATGATCAAGGAAAAACTGGTTACCATCCTAAGTGTTTTCTTTCCCCTCTTTTGAAATCACTCAATTATGCTCATTAAATCACTCACAACATATTCTTTGGAAAATGTTTTTAGAATGTTTTAACAGTATCTTCCTTGTCTATCAACACTTTTTATCCTAAAAAGATGCTCAATAAATGTTTATTGAGAAAAGGGGCAGGGCAGAGAAGGTATGGATCTTACACCTCTACCATGCCCACCTTTATTTTTTCTGCTTATAAATTAAGTTTACAATAACTCTTTCCATACCTTCAAATTGATTTCTCATATATTTTTCCTAGTCAATTCGACTCCAGTTTTCTTTTCTATATCTTAAGATTTTTCATCATTAAACTATGAGTAAGCAAAGAATGCAGCCAGCTGGAGAAATTAGGGTTCGTCAAGAGCAACATGGACATAGTGTAGTACAGGTGGCCAGCAAGAGATGCTCAGTTCTAAGGAAATAATGACCAGAATATCTGATGGGTCACGAGAGCTCCTAGGAATCAAGCGGCAAGAAAATTATAATCCAAACACTCATTTAACAAGCTGAGACTGCTGCCTGGTCTTCCTCATATACCTGTGCAACTTGAATACCTCCCCATTGATTCTAGTAACCTAGAAAGTTCTCAGTCTCTTGAAACTTTAAGACCTCACCAAGACATTTTCCCTGAAAGAATTTGTCTTGCATCAGAGCAACAAAATACATTCCACAAGAATACATGGGGATTATTTGAATGGGACACTAGAAATCATGTACTTTAGCCATTTACAAAAAGTGCCCCATGAAAAGAAGGGTCAGAGGGAGTTGAATGCGGACTCCCCCTCCAACAACTAAAGAAGTTCTACTTTATCTGTTTTTGTTTATGTTTTTGGGTAAGTCGTCTTTGCAGGAAGTCTCTTTGGCTTTAAAAAAATAACAAAAAATAAAAACTGAAAATCACTGACTGGCCAATCTTTTCCTTCTGTAAATTTTTTTTCTGTAAAACATATTTTAGGGCATATTTAAAATAAAAATATCTGAGGGTATATCTATAGTAGAAATATGAAGGGGTGATTTTTATTTTTTCACAATAAAGAAATATTTAATAATTAAAATCTAGCCACACTAGCCACAAGGAAGACCTGCCAACTGAAGGGAGTTCACGTGTCCAGGCAAGGATTCTCAGAAAACGTCGAGGACAGAGCCCAGATCTAGGGGCTTCCTGAGTTGAGAGTCTATTATCCTTCCTAGTTCAATGAGGGACCATGATATCCTGGGGCTGCAAAGCACTACATAAAGTTTGCAGAGGGAGCCATGTTTTATTGGTTGGTGCAACGGGTAGCCTGTGTTTTACTGTTAACTGCAATGCTTTTTCAAACGGATGCTTTTGAAACACCCTGGAATGTAAGTTCATAAAAAGAGAACATATGCATAATAAGTATGCTGACTGAATAAATAAGAGTATTCAATGCCCATGTATATTATACTACATGAGGCAAGGAGTATAAAATACTGACACTGTTTTCTGAAATGCATCCTTTTTGATTTATCAAAGAAATTAGACCGGCAAAATGCTGTGGGGCAGCATTCTCCACTTATGCAGCCCTACGCCAAGCCTCATGAGTGGTGAGAACAAGGAATGGCTTTGATCCCCTGGCTATTTGTCGGCAGCAAGGGCTGCCTCTGGTAGAAGTGAGGCGTGGAGACACGGGAGCTGACAGTACCGTTATTCCGTAATACCTTCTGAGTGTTATTATAAAATGACAATATTGTTTTTAGCCCATTTCCCTTAATCAGATTGACAGAATCACAGGTTGACATGATTGTGAAATTTTATGATGTATCATGTTAACTGTGCCAGTTTGATTAGCCTTGATTGACAGCTTGTACCTGAACAGAAAGTGGAATACCTCAAAAATATAAAGCCAGCGGATCCTGTATGACTTTCACAACAAACAAAATCTCTAGCATTTAATTTTTAACTAATTAGTAATTTCTTCCTCACCTCTTTCTATTACAAATTCATTTCTTTCATCCTCATCTTGAGGCTGAAGCTAGAGAAAAATAAATCCAGGCCACAATGATAAAATCAACATTTACTTTCTGACACCTTGAACATATTAATGACAGACTGCTTGTTTAATATGGCCCTGGCCTGCATTACCATCAGAGAAAACAGATTCACCTCAAACCTGATATTCCTACATGAAGTCCAGGCTGAGATATAAGGCCTTTAAAAACATGATATAGAAAGTTAGGCACGGCCACCTATCTGTGCTATCACCACACCTCAATAATGCTTCTCTCTTAACAGCATCCTCATCTGTTATCTAAACAGAAGCTGATATACTTTTAAGCTCTAGAACTGGAAGCTAGACTGCCTAGTAAATTAAGCATGGGGTTGTGCTTTCCCCTCTGGCTCCATAGGGTGAATTGAACCTACAATTCAAAATGGAATGAGATCGGTAGTTTCCATTCTCCTTACAGAGTAAAGCCATTCGTATTGCAAAGCCTAGATACACCGAGAGGTACAGCTAGATACCACTTGTAGATTCCACTTGCCATCTGATTCATAAAACTAGTCATAAAAAGTGGGGCAAGATCCAAGCAGCCCCTTCTAATCCAGAATCTGCTTTACTTCATTCTGTGTATATCTTTAGAAACCTGTGACAATTATGCTGCCGCTTTAAACTTACTGTATTACAAAGGGATTATGCAGATGCTGCCGAGTTCTATTCTCTGGTGCCTGGAGCAGAAATATCAAGTTCCCACAAAATCATTCTCTGAGCTCTGTGGCAAACCAGATGCTGGGCAAAGCATCCAGTTATGGAAGAAAGCAAACCACCTTTAAAAAATTCAACATGCAATTTTAAAAAATTCTTTTTTAGTGTGCACGGTAGAGCAAGAAGGTTATTGTTACTATTGTTGCTTCCTGGACTAACAACCAGTTGATTATACAATTGACAGGAAGGAAATGCAACTGCTGAGATGCACTGGGGCATATTTTGTTAACTCACCCACACAGCTGCCTGCTGGCATTAAGCACATGTCCATTTATTCACACATATATTTGAATTTAATAAATATGCTATTCATCCCATAAAGTGTACACTTGCACAGAAGAAAAACACACTTAGCCCCTCTTTCTCGAAGATTCTATATACTGCAGGCTGGTTGCTCCCTAGTTTTGCCGTATTTCCTAGGGGTAATAACCCCTGTTTGGGATATTTCCTCTCCACTTCCATTCCAGACCCAAACAATAAAATACAATCCTGGAATGAAAAGCATGCTCATATCTCTAGTGTCTATTTTCTAGAGTTTTGGTTTATATTGATAATCTGAACTGTGAATATTACATAAACCTTCAGGCTAATAGTGGACAGTCTTGGCAGGTAACATGAACCCAGGCAATTTTAAAAGCTGTGATAGATATATTTAATGCTTTATAATAAAAATACTAAACATGTATTGAGTCTATCATTTTCCTGATGGGACTGGCCATGAAACAGGCAGCTCCCAAATGGATGTAGAAAAAAGGCTTCTAACTCCACCTCCCTAAAAAGATGGTCAGAAGTACAAAAGACAACATCCATGGGGAAACTGAAGCCTGAGATGGGCGTATCAGACAGGAATTTCTTGGTAGTGACAGCATTTTGATGGGAAATACCAACAGGCTAAAAAGAAACACAGCCAATTTCTGGGGTAAAGACAAGAATAGATTTTTTTTTTTTTTTTGAGACGGAGTCTTGCTCTGTTGCCCAGTCTAGAGTGCAGTGGTGCAATCTCGGCTCAACGTAACCTCCGACTCCTGGGCTCAAGCAATTCTCCTGCCTCAGCCTCCTGAATAGCTGGGTCTACAGTCATGCCCCATCATGCCCGGCTAATTTTTTGTATTTTTAGTAGACATGGGGTTTCACCATGTTGGCCAGGCTGGTCTTGAACTCCTGACCTCAGGCCATCTGCCCACCTCAGCCTCCCAAAGTACTGGGATTACAGGCATGAGCCGCCGCACCTGGCCAAGGATAGATTACTAAAGCCATCTTTCAGGTTTTAAAAGGGCCAAGGAGAGATTACTAAAGCCATCATTCAGGTTTTAAAAGGGCCAAGGATAGATTACTAAAGCCATCTTTCAGGTTTTAAAAGGGGCAGGGTGTCATCACCATGTTTTGGCAGGGCTGGAGAAGATAACAAATTTTATATGTGTGTGTGATACCACATACACACACGCATGCACACACATACATATATAACAGCATCATCATGGTCAAATGCAAAGGCTCTGGAATCAGAATGCCTGTATTCAATTCTGACTCTAAAACTTACGAGGCACATGTTTTCAGAAAAACACTCCTTTAGCACCCCACTTTCTCATCTGCAAAATGGGAATGATAAAAATGCGTGCCTCTTGGATTATAAGGATTAAGTACACTAATCTGTGTGAAACACTTAATCACAGTACTTGGCATCTCCAACATAAAAAAAATGTTAGGTATCACTATTTCTCTCCGTAAGTGACTTGGGAAACACATAGTTACACTTTATGAATGGCATTCTAATTTCATAAGATTAGTGTTTTATTTCTTCTATTCACTCAACAAACACTGACCACCTTCTATATGCCAGGCACTGTGCTAATTGGAATCTCATGATTGAGCACTCCCCAACGTTGGTTCATTCTAGACTCAGGTTCCATAATAATTTTAAATGTGTACAATAGATTTTTTAGATATTTTGCTTTGTGGGTGTGTGTACATGTGCATGATTAGATTGAAGTATGATATGCATGCAGAAAAGTAAATGTAATAAGCAGATAGTTTGATTCATTTTAGAAAATGTACACACATGTAACCAACAAGTAGCCCCAAAAACTCTTCCCCCGCATTCTGCTTGACCAAATGTAAACTCTCTCCTGACTTCTAACATCATAGTTTAGATGTGTTTATTTTTCCTTTATATAAAATGAATAGTACAGTATGACTCTTTAGCCTCTGGGTTCTTTCACTCAACATCATGTTTAGGACTCACCCATATCAATGCATGTGGTTGTATAGAATGGATTTTTGAAGTAAAATTGCCATATTAATAATTTCCATATAACCATCTGTGACCAATCTGGTCCAGCCTGGGGAACATGCTCGCCCATTCCAAAGTTCATAACCTAGATCAGATGGGGACAAATGGCTTTGTGAGACTATGAAATATGAAAGTCTTGGAAAAGACAGATGCTCAAAGTCTGGCCTTAACACATATTGAGGGTACACAGAGGATGTATGAAAAATGCACAAGGGCCAAAGCAGATGAGAAGACAATGTAGAGTGTTGACAAAGAATGCAGACCATGAACTGGCTATTAAGGGCTGAGACTCCTGGACTTGGCAGACCTGGCCCTCCCACATCGACCCATGCCAAACTGTACAGATATCTAACCTTTCTAAATCAGTTTCCTCTTCTGGACTAACATCCATTTCATAGAAAGTTTGCAATGCAAAATTTGGAAAGGATTGCAAAGTAATTTGCATATAAATAGTAATCAATAAATACTAGATAGTGCAACTAAGAGATATGGTTGGTGTGCTTATAAAACTGATTTTGAGGGAAGAAAAAAACTGCATACACAAAGTTACTTGCAAACATAATAAAACAATAAGTTGACAAGTACAAAATAATAGAACATAATATGCCAGTTTGGTGGAATGTACATGCACTGAATTCCAGGAACGATGGTTCTAGTCCATATTTCAACCTTAACTAGTTCTTTCACCCTGCTCTAGTTTGTATTTGGTCTCAGTATCCATTTTCTCATATAGAAAATGAATTATTAGCTCTGAATTCTAACCCCTTCTCCAAACTGTGACAGGAAACCAGATTAAGGGTATTCTGATGAGTCCTGGACTTAAAGCGTGATGTAGATACAGTATTGGACTTGCACTAAGTAGTAGGAGAGGGATGCAGGTGGAGGGAATAGGGTAAGTAAATATGGAGAGAATTAGTAATTTAACTTGGAAGAAATGAGGTAAGTAAACAAGGAGGGCATGGAGTAGGTAACAGCAGCCACGTGGAGTCAGCCAGGCAGTCTGTCCATGTGTGTGCCCTGTCGGTTAGTCTCTCTTTCTCGCTTCCTGCTCAGTTGCTCACACCCCCACCTTCCCAGGACCTACACGCCTCACCTCCTCTGACTGTGGGATTTGTAATCACAGAAAAGTCTGTAGACTAATCCGTGGGAATTCCAGAGCCGTTTGCAGCTGCTCTAAATTGCTCCATTAAAAAATTCTTAGTGCAATCTACATTGTAAAACTTCATGTTTAACAACAAAATGAGCTTGCAGCAAGATGCCCATACAATAAAAAGAAGAAAGCTTCACAGCATTTCCAAGAGATATGGTTATTCCAAAACCACTTTCACATCACTTTTTTTCTCCCACGAATAACTCCAAACGGGAAAAGTTTCTTTCTTTCTATATTCCTATATTTTATTTTTAAAATTACAAATTGTATTTCCAGGCTTTTATTATCTAAAGATAAACATCCTATCTGCAAATTAGATTTTTTCCCGAGCATTGCTAACCATGTATCTTTTGGATGACTCCAGGGATAACCACCATTCTCTGCTCAGGAAGTAGCCCAACTCCCACTTAGGAAATGATTTTTAAGGAAATCACGGCTGCTCTTTTACCATGGAGAAATATCATATTTTCACTGCATCAAAGGGATATACCTTTGTTTCTTTTTCTATCTTCTTCACAGTGGGAAAAGTAGTGATTTCAGAAACCACATTGTCAGAGCAAGTCAATCCTCTAACTATAGTGGAGAAGGCTATAAGAAACTGGTGCACTTAGAGACTACCTAATAAAAAAACTAAGAAGAAAGCCAACTTTTGATTTAAAAAAAAAAGTGCCAAGAAAAGCCCTCACATTCATGCTATCATCACTTATAATAGCAAGAAACAACACTAGAGAGGAGATGGCAGAATCACTCATTCAGGCCGATATTCGGTAACCCCACAAGGAGATAACTACCCGCATTCAATAAGCACAAGTATTTAGAAACTAAGAGTCCTTTCAATAGAAAGCATTTGGGGGCATGAACACAGCACAATGCCATTATCTGTTTGTTTATCTGTCTCATGGAATTTTTTTAAAACAACTATGATTACTATCTCTGTATCCACAGATAGTTGGCAGAATGAATAAAGGAATGAATAAAAGCATTGTTCACATAATGCGATATAACTTTCTAGAAGGTAATTAAGTTAAATCAACTCTACCAAGTATGAGATATAATTATATGAAATTCTATTGAGGAAATACAGTAGGAAAAATATTGATCTATGTAGGACCTGTGAAAGAAGTAGAAAGAGCCCTGGACTCAGGAGGCTGGGGTGAGCCCTGCTATAGCCATTTAACTGGCTACCTGATCTTTGGAACTCAACTCATTGATTGTATTTCAGGCACATACCATGCATTAAAAGCACAACAGGGAAGATAAGAGTCATGGTCCCTGCCTTCAAGTGTTTCATCAGCCTGGGGAGGGGAGACAAACTAACAAAGACATCCCATAAAACAGTGTAAGGGGTGCTATGACAAGGTTAAGGGTAGGATAGGTTGGGATGGGGAAGGTTACAAGGCACTGCTCGTGCTCCTGGCAGAGTGCAACAAATTCAGTCTTACCTAGGAGGAAAGTGGGAGGAGTTGAAGGAGTGGCATACATAAAGCTTTCAATTCTATTTGGACTCCTTAAAAAGTGAGGTAGATTTAGGCTTCTAAACAAAAGGGAGCAACGGTAGGGGAATGGGGAGTAATCCAGGCAGGAGGCACTGCAGGTACAAATGTCTCAAGACAGAGAAAGAGAAGCAGTGGATCTGTAACAGGAGGGTGTCACAGGGTTGTGAGAGAGACAAGGTTGCAGAAGGAGGCAGAATCTTTTTTCTTATCTCAATATATTGTGTTGTTATTGTGGTAAGTCCATTTAACCTGAGACCTAGCTTCTTCACTAACCTGTAAGTGTGGAACACGTGTTTGAGAGGAATTGAGTGTAACAGCATCCCTGGGCCTCATTGTTGTTGACTGTTGGCCCCATCTGCCATTCCAGAGATGGGTCATTGAGTTTATACAGCCAAGATGAATTGGAAGGAGAAAATATTTTACTCAATAACTACGGAGTATGCTGTCTATTCTCCAGGTCATCTTAAATGCACAATAAATTAATCCTTAGTTCTTAACCTAATGATGGTCACTAATGTTCCCATTTGATTAGCAATCAGAAAGGTCATTTTTTCATCTGTGTGTAAAGAGGTGGGAACTCATGGAGGGAACCAAGCTTCTGACTACGGCAGCTCTGACTCCCATTCATGTGTTTTCATTCCTCATGCCATTTGAGTTCAACTTCTGATAATCAGATCCTTAAGTTGCTCTGAGTGCCAAGTGGATATTTTATTTAAAGTATGTTCTCATTTTCCATATGACTATGCTAGGAATGGAAACATGAGTGCTCCAGAAGCCCCTTAATTAATCTTGGAGAATAAATGTGCATGAGAGCCACTTAGGAAGTCATATATTTTCCATCTCCTTGGACGTTTCCAAAGTGCACACTAGCATAGTGGTTACAGCGTGGGCTCTATAGGACACATCTGACCTCTGTGAGTGCAGGACTGCAGGCGGGGTACTTCACCTCTATAAGGGTTGGCTTCATCATCCGCAAAATGAGGGAGCTTATAACTACTACAGGCAGATGTTGAGAAGATTATATAGATAGATAGATAGATAGATAGATAGATAGATAGATAGATAGATAGATATAGATATAGATATATAGATATGAAATATGTAGACCAGTGACAGGTACATAGAAAGTACACATAAACAATACATATTATGCAATGTGAATTTGCTTTTTCCTTAAGAAACAGTTCCTTTCTTTCTCATTATTTGGAGAAAAAAAATCATTTTGAAGGTAATGAGTTGTCTTCTGCCAGTAATTTGATTACTGTCTAATAATAAACAGTGCATATAATGTGGCAGATTTGTGGCTTCAAATCAAGCATCTATACATAGAGGCTTTTCATTTCTATTAGTATCATACTCATACTGACCTGCATGTACAGCTTCCTACCCATACTGGCACACACTACTCATCTGTGTAATGCATTTCTGGGGTTGCTTCTACCTATAAATTTTTTGAAATTCTGGAGTTTGCAGAAATTATGCAGAGTTAAGAATCTTTAAAAAAAAAAATAGAGCACTGTTTCTATGAAGAAACAATAGCTCTTATGTCATCTAAAGTATGACCCCAAAATACAGCCAAACATGAGGGTATGCGAGGTATCCAGGGGATAGAGAAGTACATTTCCCCTAATATTGTAGTTTCTTCCTCTAATATCTGTTGGCTGTACTTTGGGATGAGGACAGCATGTGTAAGAATTGTTTTATTTTTAATACTACGCTTTATTCTGAAAAAGATTTAAATAAGTTTACAAAGATGCAAACAATATAGCATGATACAATAATTGAACAACAAATAAAACATATGAAGAAAGGAGAAAAAGGATGGTGAATTAAGAGGAAGATAAACAAAGTATTAAACAGTAATGTGCACGCAAAGAAGTCTTCTGAACCTGATAGGAGGAGGCCACAATTCTGATCCTCACAGGGTTTACGGGATCCATGACTTAAAGACACACTAGTTATGAGATGCCTAACCACTCCTTTATAGGACCATAGAGAAACCTTTTCTACAGGTCCTCAGAGAAAGAAAATCTGATATGTGATGCCCACAACAACTTTCTTACGGTAAGCACAATGATTAGTGGTCTTCCTCTTTTCTTTCTATTTTGTCTGATTCCCCTAAATACTAAGTCTGATGCCACAACACAATTCAACTCGAGAAATTCTCTAATGGACCAAAATGATACAGTCTAGTATGAGGCTTTCCAATAGTTTGTGAAGAGTCACCTGTACAAGAATAGATAGTGACAAGGAAATATGCCTTTCTGAAGGCAAGAAAATGTGGTCAGATGATTCCTATGCCTCCGTGAGACTTGTTGAAGTGTCATTTGTGTGTATGTTTGTCTATGTGCTTTATATTCTAGAAACATAAATTGATAGTGATAGCACTTCAGTAAGTTTGAGTGACCTCAATCAAGTTAAAGAAAGAAGGATAACCCAAATACTTGAAGACTGTTAATAACGCCTATATCATAGAAATTCTGCCTTTATTTATGGATCCACAGAAAAATGTAATGCTAAGCCAAACACTACTACCTGCTGGTAACAATGGCAATTCACTACAATGAAATGAACAGCAGAATAGTAATCTTGGGCCCTAGATGACCTTACTCTGTGACCGTGGGCATGTCATTTATCCTCTCTGGCTCTCTATTTAATCACATGTAAAGTGTGAATGATGGACCAGTCATAACATTCAGCAATTATGGAACAAGCCTTTGTTTGATACATAGAATCAGTAATATGCATCAGCATCCCTTCTCTGCACAATGTGCTCATAATAGACTGTGGGGCAGAGTCACATGTGGACAGCTGATGAGTAATTTTCAAGTTTCTTAAATCTCTCATTTTTCTAGGGGAATCTCAAGAATGGAATGAGCAATAATGTAAGTCAAAGGAACAGGGTTAGGCTTCTGTAGTCTTTGAATCAAGGCATCCACTTTAAAATGGATTTTAAAATATTTAGGAAGGGATTCTCATGATGAGACAGTACAAATCAGAGCCGTCTGCATATGTGATGGTGTTATCCATTCAGATGGACTGAAATAATAGTCATGAATCTCAGTTTCCCATCCCCCAGCTGCAGTCCCACCAGCCTATCCCCTATTCAGTCCCGCTCCAGGCTAGCAGTCGAGCAGACTAGTTAAAAGACAATTAGTCCAATTTCACATTCTCTAGCAGCCGAAAAATTTCATGTTATTTCAGTCACAGTGGATGGATGCCAAGTTCACTGGAAGCAGCCCGGCTGATTTATCCAGTCCATTTTAATACTTTAGAAATACGGTTAAAACATGGCTGTCCTAATTACGCAGGGATCAACGCACAGTGTCCCTCTCACCCAGGATTCTCCCAGAAGGGCTGCAATCAGCTGCATTCCCCTTAATTTCACCATGCAATTCCAACTAATTTCATCCTAGTACAGTGCTGTCAGACAACTCCCATGCCTCTGCGGTTTTAATCGATTAGCTCAATGTCTCTATAATGCATCACCAGCTGCCAGGCACAGAACTGGACGCTTTGCAAGCATTTCAGCTAAAAGACAGTTTAATTACTACACCAGCATCTCAAAGGCATAGGCACAAAGCCTTGGAATCAAATTATTAAAATATTTGGTGTCAACAAGCCACTTTATAACTGAACAAACAATGACAATCCAAAAGATGAAAATAAGGAGAAAGTCAGTTTTTAAATCGTGAGTAAGCTTTTTATGGACTCTAATATAGTCAAACAAATAGACTGGCTTTAGCATTACTGCTTCTCTAAGGCCATGGAGTTCTTGGCCATTCTTTTGTGGCATATACAGCTACTGGGGACACTTGACAGACTTAGAACATTATCCTTCAATGGAACAGAAAAGACTGAGGTACCCAGCATTAGCAAAAAAACTTGAATTAATAAGTTACAGGTTTGATTACCCCATACTCACAAACGACTGGCCTCTTGTTCATATATTCTGTAACTGTCAAAGTTTGCACAAGTAAAATTAAAATACCTGTGGCCAACGCATACTACTAGATAAATAAATGTAATATTCAAGCCAGAGAAGTTTTAAATTATATTGAAGTTAATCAGTTTATTATGAATGTTTTTTACCCATTCTGGGTAACAAACCAGGAAAATTGTGACAAAGAAGAAAAAATTCTTAGTCCTGACTTAATGATATGTACAGAATTGTGCCAAAATAAGCACAGAAAAAAAATTTTTTTTGAGGTGGAGTCTTGTTCTATCAGCACCGCTGGAGTGCAATGACGCGATCTTGGCTCACTGCAACTTCTGCCTTCCAGGTTCAAGTGATTCTCCTGCCTCAGCCTCCCAAGTAGCTGGGACTACAGACATGCACCACCACGCCCGGCTAATTTTTGTATTTTTAGTAGAGACCGAGTTTTTGCCATGTTGCCCAGGCTGGTCTCGAACTCCTGACCTTAAGTGATCCACCTGCCTTGTCCTCCCAAAGTGCTGGGATTACAGGCATGAGCCACCATGCCCAGCCTGAAAAAAAATGTTTAAAATATCTATTTCTAAATCATCTGCCACAAAACATTCTAAAGATGATAGTCAATAAATTTCCTAAGGCCATCAGGAAATCTAAGAAATCTACCATTTCCAGATCCCATGACAAGATGTCGAGTGAAGGTCTTTGCTTTGTTTGCTATCTTTCCTTGAAAAGGTCCTACGTAGTGTAGAAACAGAAAGTCACTGACTACAAAACAAATGGTTCCCAGAAAACCCTCAGACAAATGTATCCAGCTTCACTACCGTAAGAAGAGGAGGGCATCAAGTGAACTCTTATCTCCTTAGTATCAGAGGCACAAATCCAGTTACAGACAAAAGTCAATAACTTGTTTCAACAAGAATTTGGTATATATAAGGAGTAATGGTTTTACATTAAGTTTTGGTATTTTACTTTCACTTCTTGTAAATTCCTTCTGATTACAATTGCTAACTGCATGACACGCTAATGATGAGCTTTGATGGGCAGAGTATCTCCTGGCACAATTCACTGAACTTGAGTGGTGACTCACCCCCAACCACCCACGTAAAGAAGAGGACTAGCTGCGTTACCAATAGTTATCTTTTGTAGTTTAATTTGAAGCAGCAGAATATCCTTTTTGTACTTTCTCAAAAGTTACCTGTTTTTTCCCCTTCTTCCTTTCTTGACAACATATTATTGGCCCAGTAGGAACACCCTTTGTACTTCCTTAACACTTTCAAAATGTTTCCATCTATGTTATATAATCCACATAACATGGCATCAGAGTCAGTAAAGCAGCCTTTACTATTTCTATTTCATAGATAAAGAAACAGAGACTCCGTGAACTTCACTGACTTTTCCAGTGTCTCATAGCTAGTGGCAAAACCACGGTCAAAACTCAGGTCTTCCGAGGCTCATCATCTGCTTTCTCCTCAGTATTGGCATGGCTCTTAATCTTAGGACCAACTGTAATAAACAACCTTTCTTTCATTTTACAACACTAATGCTTAAATCTTAAATATATAATTATAATCAATTTTGCTATTATTTTAATACACATATTTTTCTGAACATTACTTTTTTCCAAGTTTCTTATAAGTTGGGTGACCATACAATTTGTCACCCAAAAGGAGACCCTTGAGAGGAGAGTAAAAGGGGTATGTTTATAATTACACTGGAATAAATGGGTGAAAACAGGTACTGGTCCCTGGACAGGTACCCACTACCAAGGAAGCTACTCAGAGATAAGCTTCTTGTGTGCTGAGACTCTCCGCCAGAACTCAAGAACTGCAAGGTAACAGGCCACGCCCATTCAGCATACACGCTTGCCTTCACACAGTGTTAGGCTGCAGAGCTTCTGACATTTGTTTTTCATTCATTTCAATAAAGCATATCAGCTGCCATTATTCATTTGCAATCTATCTTTGGGTCTCACAGGCATTTCAATTTGGGTTCCTCACTCTAATTATTAGGTTTTAAAATGATTTTTTTGCAGTTCAAAAAGAGTTAAATACTGGCAATTTTGTGCGATTCAACCTGCTATTTTGGGCATTTTGGATATTTCATTCCCAGGGTAGAATACTTTGTATTCTGACATTACATAATGCAAGATCCCAACTATTTTTCTGAACTGTTCCTTCCCCCCAATGTTTTCTTGATTGCCTATGTGCTCCGAGTTATGCTAAAAAGCTCTCTACCCCTATGCTTTCCAAATTCCAGGGTGAAAAGGTGATAGGAATCACCTGAAGATCTTGTTAAATTGCAGAATCTGATTCAGTATGTCTAAGATGCTGCATGTCTAACAAGCTCCCGGGTAACATCAATGAGGTTGATTCATGGACCACACTTTGAGGAAGAAGGTTCTAGCCAGTATTGTTCTGGCAGAGAAAAGTTGTATTGGCAGCTTCATTAGCGATTAGCTGGTGACTCTAGGCGAGTTAGTCAACTCCTTCCAACCTCCGTGTCCATGTACCTAAAGTGACAACTATCTCGTAGGATTCTTTTTAGGATGAAATAAGTTCAAAATGATTAGCATTGTGCCTGGTACATTATTAAATGAATACATTATTAAATGAAATAGTCATTATTATTATTACCTTTAACAAACATAAAGTAAAGAGGAGCTCTGCCCTAGGAGCTATAGTTTATCCAGAGATTTCTAAGTATGGTCCCGGAACCACCAGCATGAAATACCCTGAGAACTTGTTAGAAATGTGAATTCTCAGGCCAAAACCAGACCTACTGAATCAGCAACCCTGAGGGTGGGACCCAGAAATCTGTGTTTAATAAGCTCTCCAGGTGATTCTGATTAACACTGAAGTTTGAGAACCACTGGTACTTTTACATAGGAATAAGCTTTTTAACTTAGAAATATTTACAGCATAGTTATTTCGTGGGTTTGACCTCATTTAACTGTGATGTTTGTGATTCTTTTCATGTCTATTATTATGCTGTTCTTCAAGAAGAAATCTTCGTGTCCTTTCTGCTCATGCAAATTATATACACACTCGCATTAAAATTTTACGTAGAGCTTCTTAACATTTTTTAAGATAAAAGCATTTACTTCAAAATGTGGTATGATATATTTGAGTTGAATATCACTGAACTTAGAATGCTTTAATTTAAAATCTGTTTACTTTCCTTTTTTTGTCAGTCATGCTTTAGAGATATGCTCAATCTTTAAGTACTGTAATTAGAAAGTGAGTACCATTTATTCACACCAGATTGTAAAATTAAGAAGAGCCAGAAGAATTGTTAGAGTAGTGGTTTTTATATCCTCAAAATGATTTTCATATATTTGTTGTATCTTTCATATCATTCTTTTTTTTCCCCTTATCGTTCTTGAGATACTTTTTTTTTTTTACTTGGCTTCTAGGACTCTGAAATCTTCCTATTGTCCTATCAAGTCATTGGCTGGATCTTCCCAAAGTCCTCATCATTTTCTGATCTATAAATATTGGCAGGTCTAGAGATCCTTTCCCAGAACTCATCCTTCTCTACACATTTATCTCTAGGTGACATCACGTAGCCTTCTGACTGTAAATGCCAGATACATACTGATAACTCTGAAATGTATACTTCCACAGCCCCAACCTCCAATCTTACTATAGATTCACATCCCATTGTATTGACATGACATCTCCTTAAAGTTAACTTGTGCAGAGTTGAACTCCAGATTCCCTCCATTCCAAACTCGTGTGTTTCCTAAGGACTTCACAATAGCTCAGGCAAAAAGCTTTGGAAACAGCCTTGTCTTTCTTGTCTCTCAAATCCACATCCAATTAACAGATTATGCTGAGTTTAGCCTTCAAAATATAACCTGAATTTCATTCCTTCTCGCCCCCTTCACCATACCTTAGTGTACGCCACCCTTCTCTCTCACCCGAACCTCTGCAACCCGAACCTCTGCAACGGTCCTCTGAACTAGTCTCTCTGCTTCCACTTTAACCTTTCCTAGTATACTGTCTACACAACAACTAGTGTAATCTTTTTATCACTCAGATCAGGTCTATACCCATCCTGAACCCTCCCAACATCCTCCCTTCCCTCTTAGAAAATCCAAAGCCTCTGTCTGGTCCTGGCTACTACTCCAAACTCACCCCTTTCTCATTCTGCTCCAGCAATTCCAACCTCCTTGCCTTTCCCAGATTCCATCAAGCCTACTCCCATGAGGGCTCTGCATGTTGCCCCCTCAGTGGCCTCTTCTCAGGGATCTGTATCACTTGCTCCATCACTTCATTGAGGTTCCTGCTTAAATGTTGCCTCTCAGAGAAGCTAAACATTTGGCATCCCATCAAAAATGTCATCCCCTATTGTACTCTATTCCTTTTACCTAGCCCCTTATATTTTTATAGCACTTTCCCTAATATCACATATGTATTTGTTGACTTTCTTCTCTGGCAGAAGGTAAGTTCCATGAAAGCAGAGTTTTGTTTGGTTCATTTGCCTGTTCCAAGTACCCAGCATACAGCAGGCACTAAATAAGTACTTGATAATTCTGAAAAATAAATAATTGAAACTCAGATACAGTGAACTGCATATGGTAGCCAGTTAATCAGTGCCAGAGCTGGGACTAGAAAGACTTCTTGCTTGTCAACACCCATGTATCCTCCATTTGACCACACTGCCTCCACACTTGAGCATATCTGCTGGGAATCAAGCAACTCTATAAAATAGAAATAAGGGTCTTTCTTTTGTTAATGGCTGGTATTTTTGTGTTTCTGGATTTTCTTTGTAAGAGAAAAATACTTGGAACACTATCTAAAATATCATCCCCTATTACTCTCTGTCACCCTATACTGCTTGATTTTTCTTTGCAGCATTTATCATGGCATTACATGTGCATTTGTCTATTTCTCTCTGCTAGAATGTAAGCTCTGGTGGAGGTATGGCTTTGTTATGTTTACATAGTAGGCACATAGTAGGCACTCTATGAGTGTTTGGTGAGTGAATCAACAAATCAAGAAATTTTACAATCTACCAATCATTCCCTCAGAAAGCAGAATTCTACCTTAGAAGAAACAAAATTTTCTATGAGAAGAATATATGTTTACAGACATTCTGCTGTCATAGTATCATTTATCTTAAAGCATGAGAAAATAATCATAATTTCTATTTATAATAATTTATAAATTACCTTCTATATGCCAAGTATGATATGTTCATTATCTTTGATCCTCACAATAATCCTGTGAAATAATTGCCATTATTACACTCATTTTACAAAGGAAGGAACTAAATGAAGCTCAGGGAAAAAAAAAGAAGTAACTTATTTAGGATCTCAGAGTTAGGAAGTGGTAAACTTGGGATTTATCCCAGAATCAACACTTCTGTGGCTTTGAAATTCATGAGTTTTTTAAAAAAATTACTTCATTAAAACTGGGACACCATTATTAAAAATAAATATTATTGTTCATAATAGGGAGATGGGAGGACTAGAACAAATGGTTGATTTTGCATTTCCTTCTGGTATGGCAGAAGGTTACCAATTTCAGATAAGATCTACAAGAGATACTACACAAACCTTGCAGATGGCCACAGTGAACAAAGAGTAATTTCTTCCTTCTTATTACTGTGTTAACTGCATTCATTCCCATCCTCACTACTCCCGTGTTCTCCTTGTAAGTACGTTTAACACTTTTTGCAAGTCACAGAAATAGTATATCCATAGCTCTTTATCAACTTTCTCAGGTCAAATTAACCCTACTTTCGATGTAGAAATGACTAACATAACCGAAGATCTAATGGTGATGTGGTCATGCACACAGTGTGTAGGTGCTACCAACTGTTGCAGACACAGTTCATCTCAGAACAGAAAGCATGAAACTGTAAGTATCAATATAGAGTACCCCAGTAGGGTCAAACCAATGTAGGTACCCTTGGTGTTTTCATATGAAACTAAGTACTGGGAATATGTGAATAACTTTATTGTGTGCTCTCACACCAAAAAGTTATAGAGCATATATTTATCATATCTAAGGACTCACATATAGTTGTGTGGCTTTGATTTCTTAAAAATTAGATTTGTGAAATTATGTTTTGAAAAGAGTTGGCCTTTGCTGAAACAGATCAAATAGTCAGATTATACTAATTTATTATGACTATCCACTTTAAATTCTGTCATCAAAGCCAAACTGAAAAAGCAAAAAAGAAAAGAAGGAAAACAACCAGGAATATTGTCAATTGAGTCAGAATACTGTGAGTAGACAGGTCCTTTAAACATGAATTCCATCCTGGATGAATCTATTATGGATGTGACTTCACAAGGAAGCAAAATTACTTAATTCATTATCAACCTACCCTGATTTAGATCTATGCATGTGAAAATCTCTGTCACTAATTTTAATTGCACTATTCCCTCTCTACAGGGTACTGTTAAATTGGTTTGGTGAAATAGTAGTGAATCACATCAAAGTGGTGGGCTACATTTTATAATATATCTAAATAACTATCCCATTTTCCCAGCATGTTGCCATGCATTTTAAGTATTAATATTATGACTCCAGTTTAGAAGAATGTAGCCTTTTTCTTTAAAATAAATTTTCTTGCTCTTTTAGCACTGTTAAAATTGGGCTGGATTTTAAGTGGCTAACGAGTAATAAAAGAGCAGTATCTGCTGCAGGGAACCACAAAAAACATGCTGGTGGGCACATAAAAT
Organism: Homo sapiens; assembly: GCF_000001405.40. Lineage (NCBI taxonomy): Eukaryota > Metazoa > Chordata > Mammalia > Primates > Hominidae > Homo > Homo sapiens. The sequence goes on along the minus strand of NC_000014.9, from coordinate 33,275,209 downwards.
ATGTTCATGCAAGTCACTTGCAGATACATCATTCTGATACAGTAATGGTTTTTCCAAACTAAGTGGGCTCCCTTTTGTAGCTATACTTTATTATCTGGATTCTTATTTTCTCTCTTACCCTTGGATCTTTAAAGAGAAGCATGTTTTCTCACATGCACATTTGTAAATTCAGAGAAGCAAGAAAGGGTCAAGAGAAAAGCAGCAAACTCATGATTCAGATTTGAGAACTTGCATAGGCACTGCCACTATCGTGCATCTATGACTTAAATTCTGTGCATTGTTTTAGCTTCTCCAACTAATGAAATGATAAAAGATCCTTGAACTTTTCTTATATAAAAATGTAGCCCTTTAAAAAAGTTGCTAGAGTCCTGGCATCTATTTCCTTACGGGGAGGCACTGTGGTCCAAGGAAGAAGCTTAGGTGTGAAAAGCAGGAGGCCTAAATTCCAGAGCCTGCCTAAACTCTAAACTCATTTCCTGGCCAGCTGGGAGAACCTTCCCTCAGAGTATGGGTGTTTAGCTATATCATTTATGCAACTGAGATGACTCTGAGTTTTATAAAGCTTGTGCTTGGATCAGCTTAGGTAATGCTTTAAGTCAAGACTAAAAGGAGGCTAGTTATGAAGTGAGAAGAATAATGCATATGAGAAGGGGATGGGTCTGAACTGAGGCAGGGTCTATGGAAACAGCGGGTAGCGGCCAATTGTAAAGATAATTAGGACTTGGAAGCCAGCTAGATATGGGAGGCCAGAGAAAAGGGGAGGGAAATTAGGATGGCAGGCAGTTAATTGATGGTAGTATTAATAGGAAAGGAGATACAGGCTAGGAAAAGAGCATGTTCACGGACATGTTTACCTTGAGATGTCTGGTGTTAAATTCAATTTAGCCTAATGCTGCCTCCTTACATATTCTAAGTCCAGCCTAAATGTTTCTCCGTACATAGTGAACTGTAACTGTGTAAACAGACTGTAACCTACTCTTGTACCAATCACTGTGTTTTGGCCAAAGGCAGCCAACTGTTCAAACCATATTCAAATAAGGCAAACACTGAGCTGTAACCAATCCTGCTGTTTCTGTACCACACTTGCGTTTCCTGTGTGTCACTTTCTTTTTTTCTGTCCATAAATCCTCTCTGGCCATGCCACAGTGTAGTGTCTCTCCAAACAGCATCTTCTGGTTTGGGGAAAGGGGGCTGTCCGATTTGCAAATCATTCTGTTAAATTTAATTTGTCTGACATTTTAACATCATAAAACTACAGGGAAAGAGTTAGGAAATTGGGGTCTAGAATTTAGATGAGAAATCAGTATAGTCAACCAGATTTGGGAGTCACTATTTCATTGAAAGTTTTTTTGTTGGACATTCATTCAGCAACCACTGAGTGACTGCTTACCACATGCCATGCACTTATTCCGGTCCTGGAGATACAACAAAACAAGTACCCCTGCCTTCAGGTAGTTACAATCTAGGGAATACAGAATTGTTTATCCAGAGATTAAAGCCAAATCTATCATTTTTAATGAGTTTATTCTACATACAAGCCCTATAGCACTATAGCAGTGGGATATTCATGACCTTTGTCTAAACTATTTGGTTTGACTACAGATTTAGTTTCTGAATCAGAGTCATAATCTTAAGTATCTCTTAGAAGGGCCAGATGAGAAATGAATGTTTACTTTAAAAAAATCACATAATTCTCTAGGTTGTTCAAGATGGAATAAATATTATAGCTTCCAATTTATAGATAAGAAAATGGGGCCTCTGAAATTTTCTCCAAGTCATAGAGCCTATAAAGAGCAGAGTCAGGATTCAAACCTAGATTTTATTCCACTTCTACAGCTTTTAACTCCTACCCTGTGTGGACTGAGAACAGAAGAGACCTACAGAGAAAGGTTGAGAGAGGCCCCTGTTTAAGGGAGGCCAGCAGAGGATGAACTCAGAACCAACAAAAGGAAGAAAGTGCCAAGAGATTTAAAAGAGAGGAGATTTGCACCAGAAACCAGTGGGAGACAGTGAGTCTGGGGAAGAGCGGGGGAGTCAGGGGACAGCCCACACAGTCAAAGGCTCCCAGAGGAGTCAAGCCACACACTGTGCAGACCAGCCACTGGAGTTAGAGATCAGGAAGTCAATGGCACAAACACATGGACCGTCAGGGACCAGGACTGCAGAAAGATCCACAGGTGGCAACAGCAATTGAAAGAATATACCAAGTAATTTAATTGGCGAGAAAGTGGGAAGTAAATTGGAAATGCTGGGCCAAAGTAAGGGGAGGAATTAGTCAAGACAACAGTTTAGCTGACATAATTCTGCTTTGTAAAATTGTAAAGAGATTTCGATTCTTTTTTAAGCAAAACTGTCAGTATCACTACCCTTTGGTAGAGTTTTGTTTCTCCCAAAGTAACTGCTTTGGAGGAAGACTATTCACTTCTTGCAACGTGTTGTCTACCAGAATTCCAGTGATATTTTGATGAAACAAAGTAAATGCTTATAAAATTAGGCCAGGAATGGTGGCTCACATCTGTAATCCCAGCACTTTGGGAGGCTGAGGCAGGAGGATCACTTGAGATCAGGAGTTCAAGACCAGCCTAGCCAACATGGTGAAACCCCATCTCTATTAAAAACACAGAAGCTAGCTGGGCATGGTGGTGCACACCTGTAGTCCCAGCCACTCGGGAGGCTGAGGGAAGAGAATTGCTTGAATCTGGGAGGCAGAGGTTGCAGTGAGCCGAGATCATGCTACTACACTCCAGCCTAAGTGACAGAGTGAGGCTCCATCTCAAAACAAAAAAAATTAAATGAAGCAAACATTCATTTCTCATCTGGCCCTTCTAAGAGATACTTAAGATTATGACTCTAATTCAGAAACTAAATCTGTAGCCAAACTAAGTAGTTTAGACAAAGGTCATGAATATCCCACTGCTATAATTATGAGTACTGTGATCAAGAAGGTGGTGTTCTTTGTGGAAGAAATGTACAGCGACTGAGTCTTTAAGAAAAGACTGCTGAATATTATATTAAAATCATGTGTACAATTCAAGCCATGATTTGCCTAAGATGCTGAGCAAAACAGGATTGAGAAACATGATTTCTGGCAGGAGAAAAAAGATTACAAGTGCTACGCAAGGAGGCTGGCCCCAAGCCTGGAATTTGATGAGCACTTGAAGGCATCACCTTGATCTTCATCAGCTTATTCATTGTTGTTGAAAATTTACAGTCACTTAATTTATCTATGTTTTGGAAAAAAGAAAAAACAGAACAATATCATAGTAATAACAATCAGCTTGATCTTTTTTTTTCTACTTTCTCTTTGAAAAAGTCATTAAGGATCATTCAAGAGCCCATCCTTTATTTCAGATTACATTAATAAGGAATATAACTAACTTAATTTTATAAATAGCTTGTCAAACAATATTGTCCCCCCAAATGGATATATTACAGTACATGCCAGAACAGAGGAAGGTGAGATAGAAAAGTGCTAATTTAATTATGCTAATACTGCTCTAGTAAGTGTGGAACCAGATGGTAGAGCAAGCAAACCAGGGAGGAATTTTTTAAAATCAGGTATTTTTTAATAAATATTTGTGCTCCAAATCTCTACATTATTAGCATTGGTGGAATTATTATCCTTTTTTAAGCATGTTATCTACAAGGCTGTTGGGAAGCTTCTCCTGGGGCTCCGAAAACAATACCCAAATGAAAGCCTCAGAAGCAAAGGACTCTTTCTGACCTCCTGCTCTCTTGTCTCTGGCCTCTCCTTCTCCCCAACAGCTAGCCACAGGAATCAGAATCCTTCTTCCCCAAGGTGAGTCATGGAAACCAGAACCCCCTTTCCCTGAAGCCAGCCATGAGACCTAAATACTACTCTCTTTCCCTTTGCCTTTCTGTGTGAAAACTGGCCATAAAGAAATTCTCTGACCTATCCCGTTTGACTGTAGGACTTAAGACCCTCATTCCAAAGAGAGTTCTGCCTTATACCCAGGAGGAAGAAATGCTGCACAGAGAGGCCAAGAAGAATCGGAACAGAGAGGCCTTGCTGGGTTTCCCCATTCAATCTATGAGCCTTAGATCAGACCCTTTTTATCCAGTCGTATTTCTATATGACTGTCCATACTTCTTTGTTGAACCTAAGCACACAAACAGACGGTTTCTCTGTATTTTGGGGTCTTCATTCTAAAGGTTCCCATAGTCATCTAAAATTATGATCAAATAAATTTCTATGCTTTTTATCCTATTAATCTTCCTTTTGTCACTTGATTTTCAAGGAACATTCAGAGGGTGAAGGGGAGGCATTCCTTTCAGCCCTATACTTAGAGGGTATTTGGTATTTCCAGTGATCCCTGTCTTCTGCCTGCCATCCATCCAGAAAGGTGTTCACTTCTCAAACTGGCTGACCTGAGATATCTGCAGACAGGACATCGTCCATTCTAGGATGGCCTGTCAAATAACTCATGGTTGTGATATGTGCTTAACAGGCTAAAGCCACAAAGTTATTTTAAAAAACAAAAAAGAAAACCAAAGCTGTTCTTTAATTACGATCTTCCAGAGGGAAAACATGTAATCTAGCCACCTTATCAATGGTCCTCATTCCTCTTCTGGTGAATTCTAAAAACCTATGTAATTAAGCTTTTTAAATACTAGAGCAGAATTTTGAAGTAGGAAGTCCCTTCCATCTCTCCCTTTTCCACTTAATGCTCTCTTCTTCCCTCTCTCCCTCCTTCTCCCTCTCTCTTACACACACACACCTTTATAACTCAAATGCCTTATTCATACTACACTGTTAATAACTATAAATATCATCACCACCAGGTGGAATTTATCTTTCCTCTTCTATTCTCTCAGAGTATTTTGTGGAAGTCCTTTGTGGTACACGGTGTTGGGGTGCCTTTCTACTACCCCTTCCTTTTATAGGGTCAATCACTCATTCCCCAGCTGCTGAAAGTGTGGCTGCCAATTGTTTACAGCTGTATCCTTCTCTCAAGCATTACTCTCAGTCTCTGGGAGCCAAGTCTTCTGGAAATGTCTGGGAGGCTATACTAGGAAGGAGAGGGTGGTAGGGGAATAAGTCAATGACTGACTTATCTGGGGTACAAAAGGCCAACCGCTTTCCTTAATTCCATGGAGAGTTTCTGCTCCAGAGCTCCCCATGGGATCAGACTGAGGCTGTCCTTCCCCTGCCCTGTCCTGTGTCCCTCGGTCTCTCACAGGTTTCACTTGAGAGCACTCCCTCACTACTGCACCCGCCCAAGAATCCCATCTTAGGCTCTGCTTCCAGAGAATCAGACCCCAAGACACCTCTGTTAAAGTATAGGTAGTTGTCACTTTGTAATTTGCATAGTTCTGTAAATCACTGGTTGAATGAGTATTTCAGTTTATTCTTGCCCTCCCTCCCCATACCCCCCTCCCTGCTTCCCTATTAGGACATTTGGGATTTTAACAGGTATTAATGCCTTAAGATAAAGTCATGAAAATACGAATAAAGCTTTTTGGCATTGGCAGCCATTGTTTTGTATATCAGAGGCCATCTGAAGTCATGCTCGTGAGCTGGAACCTCTTTGTCTTAATTCATTCCTAACACCCTGACTTGTATTCTCATTTTCTCATTGTTTCCCTAACTAATTATTTGAGCCAAGAACCTAAAACTACTAAATAGTATATAGGTCAATAATTATTAACCCCTCAAAGTCAAGTCACCTTATTTGCACATTTCCTTATCTAAATGCCTATGTTTAGTTCCTGCTCAAAGGAGCATGTGATTAACAGAGTGATTCATAGTGGTTCAAGACCTATTCTGACCTGAGTTCAAATCCCAGCTCTGCCACTTACTAAATTTGGGTGTTGGGAAAGATAAGTACATAGATCCATCTTTATCTTCTCCATGCCTCTGCTTTCTCATCTATAAAATGAGGAAGACAACAAGGTACCAACTTAGGAGGGTGTTGTGTGGATTAAACTTTAATATGGTAAAGGATTTTCACTAAAGCCTGACAGAGGGTATTTAACAGATTTTAGCTATTTTTATTTTGAAATTTCTATTTTAATTTATTTGAAATTTTATTTTGAAACACACTTTATGATACAATATTTTAGATAAAATAAGTCACTGTTTCCTAGGCGACTATGTATCAAAGTCCTACTAAGCATTTCTAAGCCTTGCCTGGAAATCGGGGAAACAAATGGAAGGGTGGATGCACTAGATCGCAGCTTTACCGGCCATACTTCAAGAAAGCATTAGTCTGCCATGACCTTTCACTTCAAGGGAATCAGTAATGACAGCTGGCACAGAAGATGTGAATTAGAGAGGCAAAAAAGCCCTTTCCAGGACTGCCTTCCTCCTCTGTCTCTCTCAGAGAAGCAAGGAGGGTAAACGCACAGAGAAAATATTACAATAGGGAATATCAACATCGTCCTTCAGCTTAAACACATACAAATGAGCTTTCAATTTTCCAGTATCCATGACCTAGACTGGCATGGAAAAAACAGAAACATCTTCTCCAAGTTCCTAAGCTCCTTAAGAACTTAGGTAGAGGCTACGTCAAGTATATTTGGGCATCTTTCTCACAGTGTTCAGTAAGTGATAGGCATATCATAGCTGACTGATAAGTTCCTCATGGAGTGACATGAAGCAAATCTGCAAACCAGTAGAGGAGTGGTTACATTTGAATGCAAAAAAAAGAGATACAATAAAGGAGAAATAAAGAAATCCATAGCAAATAAACATCAAAGACAAGGCCAATTGTATGGCAATGAAGACAACAGGAACCATGAGAAACCACAGAATAAAGGGTCCTGCCACCTCAAAGACTTGATAATTTTACATAATTATGTCTTACTATATTAGTTTTATTTACAAAATCTTCTATGGAGAGATAGCATCTCGTAAATTTATACAGGAAGGAGTCAAAAAGTCTAAGCTGGGGAAGAGATCAAGCAGGTCTGTATTCATTAAGAGAGAAAGCAGCCAGTAACAAGAGCAGGCTCCAAGACTTCAGATCAAAAAGGCAGCAGAAATGCTGTCCTGGGACTGGGCATCCTTGTCCAATGGACAAGAGAAGGGGCTTTAATGACAAGGTCACTGGGAGGTTAAATCACCTGGGGCCAAGTTCACATAAGACCTACACCTCTTTGGGAAAGTCCCCTATCACAGGCCATTCTGAAACTTAGCAGCTGAAAAAAAAATCAAGAAGAATATAGTAATTATGTTTTTAATTTTTATGTCATCCTTAGGCATACAGTAGGAGATAAAATGAAACTTGTTGTATGGACAAGTAGATGCCAAATTCTTCACAAGTCTGAGAGGAACTAGAGTGAGTACGACTGGCTCTTCACTATGTAGGAGCAGAGTGGCCAAGACTCACTTCATCCCAATATGTGCCGATAGCACTCCTCTGCATGCCCAATGCTGGGCTCCACGTTTTGCTGGATTCAAACAATTACACATGCAGATCCCCACCTCAGGAAATCTGTAATACAGTTTAAGGTGGTTACAATCTAGTCAGTGATTTAAATATAAAAAGATAATATTTTAAATTGTTTCAAACTTAAATTCTTTTGAAAATTTTTATTTAGTGAGACAAGCTCCAGAAAAATGTGTCAATAAATTCTATTCTACCTTCATGAAGAAGAATATTGGCTTATATTATAAAGGCATATAGGGGAAAAAAGCTTAATTTCATGGTTGAGATTTCATAAGCATTTGGAGTGCCTACAAAGTCTTTCAATTCATGCAAACACAGCTCCTCCCTGTTCTTAATTCTCTATTCTACATTTTGATGAGATGACAGAAAGGACACTAGATGTCTACAGTCCTCTCATAAGTCAAGATCCTTAAATGCTGGTGCTGCTACCTCAGCAGCATTAAATTTCAAAAATCTTCTATCTGTATATATTCACTTAATATATTCTCATTTGTACATTTATGTAGTAAAATTCACACCATAAAATATATAGAAAGTACAATGAGCTGGAAGCAATATCTTCTAGTATTCTTAATACCCCAAGAATAGCCTGACCTTGATATGCCCAGCTTCCCCAAAGTCTTAAAATTATACAATGTGAATTGTGGCATTTAATTTATTTTATTCTATATGCTTTAAAATGCAACCATTGATTTTTAAAAGCCTTTGGGCAATATACAATAGCAGATTTCATAAACTACAGGGTAAAAATGACAAAGCCATAATAACAAATGTCAAGCTGGCAATTACCCATCCCAAACAATTCTTTGCCTTGCTAAGTCAGATATTCCAAATGTGTCTCTTTTGGATAGAAAATGAGAGAGAATTTTTTAAGGCAGCAACTTTCCTAACAGTCCTCTGCATTCAGACCTTTGATATTTATCTCTAAAGCTGATCAATAAGAGCTGTTGACAATACCCAGGATAGGAATACAAATATCTGTAGTGGCTAGAGTACTAGCCATACAAGATTCCATTAACAGTGCTCTATAAAAATATTTGAGATTTCCTTGGGGAGTCTTTAACAAGCTCATCAGATGGAGAGATAAAGGGTCAAGACCTATATTGGCCATGCATTAGCTGAATGACCTTGATCCAATCACTCTCCATGAGCCTCAGTTTTCTTATCTCATCTGTAAAATGAGGTGATTGAACCAAGTGTACATAAGGAATATAGTAAAGTATCAGATACAGTAGGCAATAATTAAATTGTATTTAGTTTTTAAATACTGCTTTTACTTCATCTATGTAAGTTCCTGAAGCAGTAAAATGGCAACCATATCTAAAATGGCATAATCATCTTTGGCTTAGAGGTAAGGATTCTCATTGATGGGTTATGGTGTGAGACTTGGAACCTAGATATGAGCTCTCTCTTCAATCTGAATTATTCTATTTTAGTCTCCTACAAGAAGGATAATTTTGGCTTAGCAGTTGATATTTTTCTCAGGTATTCAAAGCTGTTGAAATGGTCCTAGGTGGGAGGTCCACAAATTAAAACACATCCTTTCACTGCTATCATATATAAAAAGGAAGGAAATTGTGCATTTAAACTCATCCTTTACATTGTTTTAGCCAGTTAGGCCTCTTTAATTTCAGATTAAGTTAAAAGTGAGCTTCAAGAATGGGAAATGCAATGACTTCCCCAAAGGACATCACACTTTTATAACAATTCTGCAATGTTAGCTTCTGAAGCACAAAATTTATCTTAGAGTATAGTCTAAATAAATGTGTGTGTATATGTATTTATATATTTTTATTTATATTACATATTTAAGTATATAAATAAGTGCATATACATATGTAAGTATACAATATATACCTATCTCTACTTCTTATATAAATATATATTATCTAAAATGTAATTTTCTTTAAAGTGCCACTAATAAAGGAAATCATGGACAGTGATTTCCAAGGTAATCTAATGATAGACTATCAGAAAGCCAACGTAGATTCCTTTTTTAAGGGGTTGATTTAAATATTTCAAGTAAAAAAGTAACAAAGAAAGTAGCAGAATATAGTAGTCACAAGCTTGGGCCCCAGATCTACATTGCTGACTTATGCATGCTGGCTCTACAATTTACCTTGGGTGAATTACTAATCTCTCCACCTCACTTTTCTCAAGTATAGAAAAATAGTACTTCCCCGCTAGTACTGGTGTGAGAATTCAGTAAGTGAACACATGTACAGCCCATAAGACAGAGCCTAATTTATCAAATGTTAGCTTTTACTTTATTTGCTGTTATAAAATGAAAAAAAAATGTAATGCATTGCTCTTACCAAATATCACAGAAAAGGTTAAGTTCAAAGCCATTAGCATATAATAGAGATTGTGAAATCCATAGGGAGAAAAAATATATTGTAAAAGATGAAGAAAATATGACTCCTTAGAAAATTTTACAGAGCAGTTAATACTATTACTAAACTGAAAAGTAATGTCAAAGCCCATGTTTTAAGTCTACTTGATAGTTCTTTGAAGTGATGCCAGAGAGCAGAGTTCAGTGACAGAGTTTCAGAAGTCCGAAGTGTTAGGATAATTCTGGTACCCAGTTAGGGATTGTCCTTATTGCTACCTTTCCCCTACTAGCCAAGGGGCTAGGCTTGGATGAGTATCTCCTCATCACAGCAGCTGCCTTGAATTAACACGAGGGACCTTGTTTCAAGAAAGCTACCAAAGAAGAAAAGAGTATTCTCAGTAGGTAGTAGTGATGATGGTAGCTAGAACTTAAACAGCACTCACTCACTCTGTGCCTGCCTTTCTGCTAGGCTCTTTTCCATATTACCTCAAGAAATATGACCAGTTACTGAGAGAAACTTATGGAGAGAAACTCTGGGAACTCAGGAAGAATAATGGAAGTGGGGACCAGGCTACAAAGTGCAGTTGGAGGCCTTAGGTCCCTGGTCTCTGAGGAACTCTCCAAGTGAGGAGACCAAGACTGCCCTGATGAAGTGGGAGGCAAGAGGTCAGGCTGCCACTGGGCCTGATGGCTCAGAAAAGGAGAGGAAGGAAATGAATATCTGTAGATCACCTTCTATCATTCACATTTATAGTGTGAAAGGATTTGCTAGAAGGAGAAGAAAAAAGCAACAGCTCAGCAGAGGGAGTTCAAGACAGATTTAAGCCACTTCCCCAAATATCCCTAGTACCATTCAGACACTAACTCTTCTCATTATATCTACCTCTCCTAATAAAATCTAGTTAAATCATATGAGTATAGACTATTAATAATCTAAATAACATCACAGTACATAATATTAAATGGAAGCATTTGGGTTTATTTTCTTTAAAACATCTGTCTGGATTATCATTCTCAAATCAGTTACTTTTTCTTTTTTTTATTATTATACTTTAAGTTTTAGGGCATAGGTGCACAGCATGCAGGTTTTTTACATATGTATACATGTGCTATGTTGGTGTGCTGCACCCATTAACTCATCATTTACATTAGGTATATCTCCTAATGCTATCCTTCCCCCCTCCCCCTACCCCACAACAGGCCCCAGTGTGTGATGTTCCCCTTCCTGTGTCCATGTGTTCTCACTGTTCAATTCTCACCTATGAGTGAGAACATGCGGTGTTTGGTTTTTTGTCCTTGCAATCGTTTGCTGAGAATGATGGTATCCAGCTTCATCCATGTCTCTACAAAGGATATGAACTCATCATTTTTTATGGCCGCATAGTATTCCATGGTGCATATGTGCCACATTTTCTTAATCCAGTCTATCATTGTTGGACATTTGGGCTGGTTCCAAGTCTTTGCTATTGTGAATAGTGCCGCAATAAACATATGTGTGCATGTGTCCTTATAGCAGCATGATTTATAATCCTTTGGGTATATACCCAGTAATGGGATGGCTGGGTCAAATGGTCATTTGCAATTGCTTCAAAGAGAATAAAATACCTAGGAATCCAACTTACAAGGGATGTGAAGGACCTCTTCAAGGAGAACTACAAACCACTGCTCAACAAAATAAAAGAGGATACAAACAAATGGAACAACATTCCATGCTCATGGGTAGGAAGAATCAGTATCATGAAAATGGCCATACTACCCAAGATAATTTATAGATTCAATGCCATCCCCATCAAGCTACCAATGACTTTCTTCACAGAATTGGAAAAAAACTACTTTAAAGTTCATATGGAACCAAAAAAGAGCCTGCATTGCCAAGTCAATCCTAAGCCAAAAGAACAAAGCTGGAGGCATCACGCTACCTGACTTCAAACTATACTACAAGGCTACAGTAACCAAAACAGCGTGGTACTGGTACCAAAACAGAGATATAGACCAATAGAACAGAACAGAGGCCTCAGAAATAATGCCACACATCTACAACTATCTGATCTTTGACAAACCTGAGAAAAACAAGCAATGGAGAAAGGATTCCCTATTTAATAAATGGTGCTGAGAAAACTGGTTAGCCATACGTAGAAAGCTGAAACTGGATCCCTTCCTTACACCTTATACAAAAATTAATTCAAGATGGATTAAAGACTTAAATGTTAGACCTAAAACCATAAAAACTCTAGAAGAAAACCTAGGCAATACCATTCAGGACACAGGCATGGGCAAGGACTTCATGTCTAAAACACCAAAAGCAATGGCAACAAAAGCCAAAATTGACAAATGGGATCTAATTAAAGTAAAGAGCTTCTGCACAGCAAAAGAAACTACCATCAGAGTGAACAGGCAACCTATAGAATGGGAGAAAATTTTTGAAATCTACTCATCTGACAAAGGGCAAATATCCAGAATCTACAAAGGACTCAAATTTACAAGAAAAAAACAAACAACCCCATCAACAAGTGGGCAAAGGATATGAACAGACACTCCTCAAAAGAAGACATTTATGCAGCCAAAAGACACATGAAAAAATGCTCATCATCACTGGCCATCAGAGAAATGCAAATCAAAACCACAATGAGATACCATCTCACACCAGTTAGAATGGCAATCATTAAAAAATCAGTTACTTTTTCAAATCATTTTTAAATAAACCACTCTTATTTTCATTAAGAAAATTAAAATTCTTCATTTTGGTTTTCTTGGAATATTTCTTTTATAAATTAAAAGAACTCTTGGAATATTTCCTTTATAAATTAAAAGAACCATCTTGTTGAGTTGATGAATCTACAATTTAAAAAAATTGTAATAAAATGCCATGAATAATTGTGGAAAAATGAGAACAGGCAATGTTTTACTATTATTAAATATATCCAAGGTAACAATTTTAACATTTCATCATGATTTGATTGAAAATCACTTAAATTGTGTGTCTACCTAATTTCAATGAATCAAGGTGAAAATATGACCTTGCAGGTCCTGGAATGCTGCTCAATCAATCAACTTTATCATCCTCTGCATGTAATCCATCTGGTTGTGTATAGAACTTGAAGGAAATCTAAAACAATGGAGCAAAAAGTAGAACTGTATTGCCTACACTTATTTCTTGGCTTACGATGCACAATGTGTCTTTAAAATTTAACTATGAGACAATCAACACAAAATTAGGCAAAAGTTTCTCCTGGGATTCTGAGTTTCTAATTACCAGATCTAGAATGATGAAGGCAGAGGCAGAAATACCAACACCATCAGGGTTGCATGCCTGCTGCTTTCTAAAAGAAATGCTGCCTCCCTTCAACTTGTTAAAAATTGTCCTCTCTACTTATATCTTTGGAATACATCAGGCTTAAAACAAAGTGGAGGACAGAGTTATTTTTAAAGCCAATGCTTTTTCTTTCTGTCAAGCCACTAGCAGGTAGTTTATTTGAAACTCTAGATGAGCTGTACCTCCTGCTTCATTACCTTTACCAAATACTGCACATTTCCAAAATCTGTCCCCTTGCTCTCAAGGCAAGCACAGACTCCTCATGATCATTGCTAAGCCCAAGAGCCAAGAATTCCTATAATAAGATAGATACCACCTCTATTTCCTCACATTGCTTTAGGATAAAATGATGTGTGAATTTCAAACTCTATTACATTAAAATAGAAATAAAACTACCTAACTTCTTACATGGAAAATGTATATTGGAGGAAAATTACTTTGACACATAAAATTGTTATGTCAAACTTTGTATTATGATGATCTGAAATGTTAACTTGCCAGTTACTTAACAGGTTTAGATTCTGAATACCTAAAAGAGTCAAAATACTACCCCTTAATATTAAACTGAGGAAAATGTTTAAATGCAACATTAAAACTGTGAATAGTGTACATATAAAAATAAATACATATATATTTTTTACTGGTATAATTGTTTTTCTGAAGAGTTACTATCTTTTAAATATATGTACAATGGATGTTCATTGCCATAAAGTATTGGAGTTGTTCTAAGTGTCTAGCAGAGTCTAATTTAACCTTTGTCTCCAATTCCTAACACCAATTTGACAATCAGAATAGCTTATACAAGTGCCCAAAAAGTCACATTAAGGGGAAAATGAGTTCTTTTTTTTTTTAAATAAAAGCTTAAAGAGCTGAGAATTCTTTAAAAAATATTCCATTTGATTAAATTCTTTTAAAACAGTATTTTACTGAGAAAATATGACCAACTCAGGAACAAGGATAAAGAATGCTGTCTACAGAGAATCAACAGACAAAACGTTCACTGAAGAGGTGGTATTTGACATGGGTTGTTGAAGAATTGCTAGCATTGAAATAAACAAAAGAAAGGAAAGATGGTATTCTAAGCAGGAAGAGAAATACATGCAAAGGTATGAAGCAGGCTGATGACAGGTGTCTGTACTGTTTTCTTCATGCTTAAAAGAGAAACAGTACTTTCTACTCTGTGAAGACAAAAATGAGTAGGGGATTTCAAAATATTTTGAAAACTCTGAAAGGCTATATAAACATAGGATTATCTTTGTAAGTATCATGAACTGACTTCATTCAACAGGCAAAATATAGTCATTGTAGGTTTCTGGAAAGAAAAAATGACCAAGAAGAAGAAATCTGTTAGGATTATTAAGCTACAATAAGTGTTTATACAGATTGTAAGAGGGACAGAAGAGAGAGGTTAAAGAGATTAGATGAATGATATTTGGTTTGTACAGACAGGAAATGAGGAAGACCAGGACAAAACTGTTATCGGTGAGAAACAGAAGAAAAAAATTCTGAAATATAGTGTAGATAAAAATACCAGTTGAAAGATTAGATGTTATAGCAAATGATCTGCTGCTGATGATTCTCAAATTTCAAGCCCAGGTGATTGAAAAAGTAGCAGCAGAAAACTGAAGAGGCAATCTACTTGGAAGAAAAGAAAAACTTAATTTGAGTCCTGCTGCATAAAAATGTACGGGTGCATGATGAGCTTTAGCATAACTCCAGTGTAAGACTTGGTTGGACTTGAATGGCTATTGTAGAATGACAGGAGCGAAAGTGAACTGTGGCCAAACTTAAAAAAAAAAAGGAAAGGAAAACAAAGAAGAAAAAGTTGACCAGGGAGAGAGGCTTTCTTTTTAGAGATGTGTTTAACTCATCTAAGTATATACCAACAAATCATTTCCAGATGTTCAAAAATCTAAGTTTACTCTATCAAGGTACAAACATAAGGATCTAAGAATCTCATCTCATAACAAAGAAGTAACGTTACTCCTTTGGGAGAAGCAGTGGCTGGGATAAAGAAACGTGAAAGTCAGACATTAGCCATTGGGAAAAACTTATATACACGTAAGATGGTCACGCTATGAAGTTGCCAGGGCCAACAAAATGCCGGCTGCATGCAATAGGCTTTTGGGTGTCCGACCACCTGGCCCATTTGATCCAGCCCCCAATGTCTGTTCAGGGCAACTCCCCTGTGATTTCGTTTCCTCCTCTTTGGCTCTCATATCCCCACTGAGTGAGTCAATCAGATTCATATCTGATTTCATGGTTAAGATGTTGCTCTCTCAAAAAAAAAAAAAAGATGCTGCTGCTGCTTATTATTTATTTTCATATTTTAAAATAAACACATAGTTGTGGTCAAACTGGTTTTTATCTGATTCTAAAGATGGCATTTTCAGCATCTGTCACAAGCACCATGCTGTGTCTATAGACAAGGGTTCATGCCCTTACTTATTCTTTCTTCCCCACTTTACAGTTTGAGTCTTCCCTTTAAAAATAAAATGAACAAAATCTATTAAAATATGACTTACAATATGTCTCCCCCTCAAAATATTTTTCAGCATTGCCTATCACCCATTTTCCTTAATATGAATTTCAGGGTTACTGTGAATATTGAGTGCGATTATAATTTATGCTTATGTTTTGTTTATTTTATCTGTATAAGAAATAGCTATCAGGAATAAAAAAAGAAGCACTTAGAAAATATTTTAAGTGAAATCATAAAAGTAAAGACCATATTTCTATTCCATCGGTAAGCCAAGGATTTGATTGGTAGTTTAGTTTGTGAATCATCTAATAAGCTGGAAAATTAGAAATGGGTGGTCAGTGACACTTTTTGTTGTAGTCTTCTACAGAGAAAAAAAAATAAAATGGACGGAAGGAGATAAAAAATCATAGCTGATGTTTCGATGAGACAGAACTAGGAACCATAAAGCTCAAACCCTGAACCTGGGGGATAAAAGGCAACATTCTCAGCAAACTGATAGAAAATCAGATTCCAGAGTGAAGGCAATTCTTTCCTAAGTATAAAGAGCTACAGCTATTTGGCCAGGTGCAGTGGCTCACGCCTGTAATCCCAGCACTTTGGAAGGCCGAGGAGGGCGGATCACGAGGTCAGGAGATCGAGACCATCATGGCTAACATGGTGAAACCTCGTCTCTACTAAAAATACAAAAAATTAGCTGGGCATGGTGGCGGGCGCCTGTAGTCCCAGCTACTTGGGAGGCTGAGGCAGGAGGATGGCGTGAACCCGGGAGGCGGAGCTTGCAGTGAGCAGGGATCACGCCACTGCACTCCAGCCTTGGTGACAGAGCGAGACTCCATCTCAAAAACAAACAAACAAAAGAGCTACAGCTATTTATGATAAAAATGAGTATTTTCCTCCATTCAAATAAGACTTAGTTGGAAGATTTATAATGAGAGGTAAAGAGGAAATACGAGGATGACCCATGAAGGACTCAGGCATGTCATAAGATGAAGTCAACATGCCCTTGTGATCAGATTAGGTCCTATGAATACTCACAACATCAAAGCAATTAGCTGTATGTATTTCACATCAATGTATGGACAATTCTAATGAATCACTAAAGAATTCTTTTCTTCAGCTTTCCATAGCCCCACCTACATTAGCTTTACTCATTTGGAAAGGACAAAGCTAATCCTACAACATAACACTACGTCTACTTTAAATTGCTACTACTCCCTTAAAAGAACTTGGCAAACTATCAAGTCAGGCATTTTAACTTTTTTTTATAGACAGTGTCTCACTCTTTCTTTCACCCAGGTTGGAGTGCAGTGGTGTGATCTCAGTTTGATGCAACCTCCACCGCCCAGGTTCAAGCAATCTGATTCTCCCATCTCAGCCTCCCAAGTAGCTGGGACTACAGGTGTGTGCCAACACACTGGGCTAATTTTCATATTTTTAGTAGATATGGAGGTTTAACGTGTTGCCCAGGCTGGTCTCAAACTCCTGACCTCAAATGATTTGCCCACCTCGGCCTGCCAAAGTGCTGGGATTACAAAGGTGTGAGCCACTGCACCTAGCCTAACTTTCTTAATTTCATAAGTACCTTAGCAGCAAAAATAAAATATTAAGTTTATTGTTCTCAATTACTTTGCTGTGCTACTCTCCGGAAGTGTCAGCCAAAATAAGCCTCATATTTCTGCTGAATTTAGGAAGTTCTATAAAATGTGGTTAAATCTCTTGAGATATAATCTTTCTATCATACCACCCAAAAGTGAAATCAAGCCAAGTATAATCTAAAATGATTACTTTATGATTACTGGCATAAAATATACCCTTGAAATAGTATTGTGGCACTTCTCCTTTGTAATATAATAGGAAAACACACATTAAAAGACAAAAAGGCACAGTTATTCTTGGGGGTATGGAAATGAGAGTAACTTTTATTGTCATAAACTGTCTTTCCCTGGAGTGACCTGTTAATGGTGAATTGTGGAAAAGAGTCACATTCAGTGGTAATGCACAGAAGATGTTTTGAGGAACTTAAATGTACCTTACACTATTTAATATTTTCAAAAGTGATCTACTCCTATGGCACACTTTCTTCTTCATTTGAACAAAAAGCAATCCCGTCAGCACACTTGTATGTAGATACAGCTTTTAGTCAAATTGAATAAATTCAACTCCTTAGACTTACTGAATACAGGTATTTCACCAGCATCTCCATATTTTAGGTCTGTTTCAAGGACTAAAGAGCTTTTTAAATGCTATGGTAGGGTAAGTCCAGGGAGAAAGGGAACGGAAATTACCAAAGAGGGACTCATTAAAGGAATAAAGCCCAAGGCCTGGAGAACCCTGGAGTTATTATGGTGAAGGCACCAAGAGAAAAGGGTCAGCTGAGACTCCCCTAAGCCTGAGGAAAAGAGGTAAGCGTTGGTGCAAACAGACATACCCACAGACATGCAAGCAGGAAGCCAATGGCATTCATGCCTGGCACCATCAGTTTCTGGGAGGCGATGGAAGGAAGAAGATCATCTGTTAGGAAGAAGGAGGGTTGGGACAGATAGGATTGGGGCTACCAGGAAAACAATCATGTCTGGGAGTGGCGCCCAGTGGGAAAGAAAGTCAGCTAACCAGGAGTATATGAAAGGAACTCTAAGTGGATCCAAGCCACAAGCCAATGTTTGAAACTCAGTCTGAAGAGGGATCTATTTATGAACTCAAGTCTGCTTCCAGACCTCTTTGTCACCTTGCCTTCTAGGGGTCTGCTCTCCTGTCTGTAAAATGGGGATGATGTCTCAATGACCGCTAAGAGCCATCCAGGTCTAGCTTTCCATACTTTTTTGCTTCACATTTCATTTATTCTTTCAAAGAACAATGCAGAGTGTGTCAACAATATTGACATTAAGATTATGCTGGAAAAAATAGAGCCAAAATTATTGTGTAATAAACTATTAATAATATGTAAGTCTAAAATTATATTGTGTTTACAACAGAAGGAAATACAGTTAAGATATACATTCAGGTTGAAGGGGAGGAAGTTCTAGCATATTTATGTCCAGGTTTATGTTTTTGTAATGAAACATTATAACGGCCAGTGTAAAGCAAAAACAAAATCAATCTGTTTTGAAAGGGTCTCCCTGGATTATATTCTAATTCATCACAAAATTAAGAACAAACTGCAATTGATAATGCTTGGGGTAGATCTTAAAATCTAATTAGTGAAATTACTAGTAATTCACCATTTCTTAGATTTAAATTGGGTCCTATTACTATTTGTAATTTATGGAAACAAAATCAATCAAAATAATTACAATCCAATCCAAATGAGGGAAATTATTTATTTATGCTCTCCCTCAAAAGAAAGAAAGAAACTTTTTCTATGATTAAATGCATCACTTATGAAATCAATTTCTATAGTCAAAATGGATAAGGTTTTATTGTTTTTGTTGTTAAGGGATTGAAATCTATTATAAAGTATAATGTGACACACAAACTATTATGACTTTTAACACCGGTTCTCTTACACGAAACTACAACTTTGGTGGTCAGGCTTTACCTAAATTATGAATATTTACACAAATGCTGTATGTTACTTAGAATATAAACCTACAAGTGACCATGGTAATCTATTGGTTCTTATTCTAACAAAACAGGAAATTTTTTTATGAGTAATTTTAAATTTAGACAATTATTCCTCTCTATACTTGAATTTACATAAACAAATAATTTCTAGCTATCCTTTTAGCCTAAAGAGCAACTCTCTTTGAGGTCATCATTTTTTCTTTACAACTAACAATAACCCACTTTACTGACCTGAACCTTTGTAAACCATAGATACGAGACTCTCTCCTGGTGTGTTAATCGGTCGACCATCAATCCTCAATAAATTCCATCTAATTGCTGGCATCTAGTGAAAGACATCACACAGGACACTGGGGAAGGATGAGACAAAGACCTTAACTGTGAAATTGGTTTTCCAAGACTAAGGCTATACCATCTTCAGAAATCTGCATTTGAAGGTGTTTATCTATAACAGGGTGAGACCAGGCTGAGTCACCCTACCCAACATTGGATGAGAGAGCTGGCCAAAGTTAAGGACAAAAACTATAATCATGGAGAAGAAAGAAACTAATAGCCCACTTGGCAATTGAGCCTTGGAAAAAAAATACACTTTAAGTGGTTTCACAGGGTCTCTCCAGCTCAAATAGTCCAGGATTTATAAATACTCTAGTCCGGGTTGGTCTGGTTCATATCGTAATTATTATAATTAGTACTAAAATACAGCTATTGAGCATTCATTTCTCTATATATTAGTTTGCAGAAGAGTTGCAAATTAAATGAGAGTGAATAGTTTTACAGATGCTGACATGTTTACAAAGTTTCACCATGCTTAGAAGAATTACCTAAGAACAACACTGGCAGGGTATCTTCTGATTACTAATTTATCTAAACATTCTGTTCATATACTATCCAAATTACTTTCAAAGTAAAGACAAGCCTTAAGCAATTTCAAAACAGGGTTATTTCCAAACCTGCTATGTTAGCCATCACATGCTAGGGTTGGAAAGAAACATATTACTGAACAAGAACAAGGAAAAGCATACTTCCTATTCATACAAGCTTTTGGCCTGTTTCCAATTCCAAGTTTTCCTGGCCAACGTATCCTTAATACTTTTCCAGAAATGAGAAAAGAAGTAAGACTGGGTCAGTCTGCAACTAGTTTTTTTTTTTACAAATTCCTCCAATGTTTCCAGAAATATTATAGCATCTCCTGACATAGTCCATGAATATATATTTCCATAGATTTTCACTATGACTTATACCCAAGATTAAGAGTTTTCCTCATACATACCTCTGACATTTAAGAACTTCAACCAAGTTACGAGTCATTTCATATTTGATAATTCCTCTAGAATTTTGGCCAATGAAAAATGTGACTGATTCTGTAGTCTGCTCCTTCCTTGCTTTTTCCCCAATGTTTGCTTAGCTGCCTTTTAGTATTTTTCATAGCTATTGTATTACATAACTTTATAAACGGCTTTTATAACTGGTTGCCTCAAAGAGTGATTCTCCTGAAACATTAAGCCATTCTTCAATACATAATTAACTTAATGAGCACCTACTGTGCCAGGCACTACCGTAGGCTTTGAGGATAAGGAGATAAAAGGCTTGAGGAAGGTGAAACGTAAATAAGCAATAAAAATGTACACAGGCTGATAGGAGAGTACAAAGGAAGGACCCCCTAATCCAAGTCTTAAGAATGAGGATGGGGAGTTCAAGAGACCTCACCTGAGTATCTGAGTGGACACTGGAAACCCAAGTCATCCTGCTCAATAGAGTGCAAAAGAGGTAAGAGAAGGTAGCATTCTCTTTGAACTTCGAGAAGTGTGTTAAGGCCAGAAGGTAAGATATAAGTTTAGGACAGACAGGACAGAAATCCTAACAGATGGGGCTGGGAAAACAGATAAATTCTAGGTTATAGAAGGCCACGGAGGACTATGGAAGCTGCTACATGGAAAATTGGAATTGAGGATGGGTAGGAGAGAGGAGAGACTGCATGCGAGGACCCCAGTCAGTCTTCAACATCAGTCAGATGAGAAAATAATGATAGGTTTAAGTAAAGCAGAGAGGATGAGGATGGAGAAGAGCTGATCTAGCCAACTTGAATAAGAAGTAGAATGTGAGGTTAACTTCCCAGTTTATATTTGGGTAGCTGGGTGGATGGTGATTTCTTCTACTTAGCTAGCCAACATGGGAGGAGAACTGGGTTTTAGATGATACTGAGTTCAGCATCCAACCTTTTGAATTTGAGAAGCCTATGGCAGATCGAGGCAAAATGCACAATAGAGTTGAACATCAAGACTTAGAACTCCAGAGAGAAATCTAAAGTAGGGGTACAGAACTGCCATGAATAATTAGGTAGTGGGTAAAACCACAGAACAGAATGAGATCACCCAGTCAAGGCATGCCAGAGTAACAGAAACCAGGGACATGTTTATATTTAAGGACATATGGGGGACATAAAGTCCATTAAGGAACATAATGGGTGACTCATCATGGAAGGCATAAAACCAGGAAAAATGATAATTTGAGCACAAGAGAGAAAAGTACCAAAAATAAATAAGGTAGTAATAAGCAGGGTGAAAATTGGCAGAGTGGGCAATCATAGGAAATGGAACCCAGGAAGCTTGATTACCATTGGGAAATCAGTTGTGAGGAGCTGCTTCTCATAATGGGAAAGTAATTTACTCCCTAAAAACTGACGTGTGCTAAATAAAAATCACTAGCTTGGGAATCTACTAGATGAGAGTTTTAATTCTGGTTCCTTCAGTTACTAGCTGTGTTTAAGTAGAAAAGTTGTTTAATCACTCTGTGCCTCACTTTCCTTGTCTCTAAAAAAAGAAAACAATAACCACATCATTGGACATGGAGAAAAGGGAACATTTATACACTGTTGAGAATGTAAATTAGTTCAGCCTCTATGGAAAACAGCATGAAGACTTCTCAAAAAAACTGAAAACAGAACTACCGTTTGACCCGGCAATTCCACTACTGGGTATCTACCAAAAGAATAATACATCATTATATAAGAAAGACATTTCCACTTATGTTCATCGCAGCACTATTCCCAATAGCAAAGTCATGGAACGAACCTAACTGTCCATCAGTGGTTGACTGGATAAAGAAAATATGGTACTACATGGCCATAAAAAAGAATGAAATCATGCCCTTTGCAGCAACACGGATGGAGCTGGAGGCCATTATCCTGTTTTGAACTAACTCAGAAATATAAAGTCAAATACAGCATGTTCTCACTTATAAGTAGGAGCCAAACAATGGGTACATATAAACATAAAGATAGATAATACAGACTGGGGACTCCAAAAGAAGGGAGGGTGGGAGTGGGGCAAGAGTTGCACAATTACCTATTGGGTACAATTTTCACTATTTGGGTGATGGGTACACTAGAAGCCCAATCCCCACCAGTATGCAATATACCCATGTAACAAACATGCACATATACCCCCTGAATCTGAAATTAAAAAAAAAATAGATAACTATTTTCAGAAATCAAATAACATATGTAATAGTAATGAAAAGTAAGGTGAAGATTGCACAACTCTAATAAACTTTAAGACAATGTAATCAAGAATAACCAATAAAAGAATAACCACTACATCATGGGGTTATTTTGCATATTAAATTATTAAGATAACATATATAAGAATACCTACTACACTGTCTAGCACAGGGTAGTCACTCAATACCTTAGTTGCCTTCTTAGACACACATATGAATAGACACAAACCAGTCAAACCTAGAGAAGACATCTACCCTGAGTTGAGTCTTCATTCAGCTAATTAATTTGAGTATCATTCTATAATGAACCAAAGCTATATCTGAGTAACTTGCAGACTCACAGGAAATAAAATTGGGTATCTTAGAAATGCAGTCCTATGGGCTGTACCTGATTCCATGAAAGTTTTCATATACCTCACAGGGATGAGCAAATTGCTCATAGTCACTAGATAAATCACAATAGCTCGTCATGAGTTTTTAAAAAAACACAGAAGTGGATCCTAACATAATGGGTTTATTACACACACACACACACACACACACACACACACACAGACACACACACACGCAAACACCCACGAAAGGTTCTAATACCCAACAAGTAATAAACTTATCTCTTTAATTATGAATCTGGGGCATGAATAAAGAAGTAAACGTAGACAACGAATTGCAACGTGCTTCAACACCAAGGTCTGAAATAAATTGGGCCAGGTCCCCTCTAAAAAAAAGAGAAAGCAGAGGAAAATTTTAAAATTTCAATTTAGAATGCAAGCTAAAGCCCTATAATGGTACTAGACTACTTCACAGAACTGTGATTCCATGTGATCAAATAAAACATTATTACAATAATATGAAATTGAAGCAAGGACATAATGCTTTTGTGATTTAATACCTTTTAAGGCTATTTGTTGAATTATAAAGATTTTTTTCATATTTGTTCTGAGATAATGTTTTTGTTATGTAACATACCTGATTTAAAAGTATGCTATCCTCACTTCCAGTAGAAGAAAAAATATTAAATATAGATAAGTATAAAAAGTAAACAGTTGGATTAAGGACGCAGATGAACGACACATAAAAAGTTGGAATGATTTCAGAGGAATTGCCTTTTCATTCACTGGGCTCCAGCCACAGAAAGCAACACAGTGGCTATAATCATACCCAGTGCAGACATCACCAGGCAACTCAGTTTATTCAGAAAATGCCCTCTTAGCCACATTTGACTTCTGTATATGGAGGTACACCCACCCAACCCTAAGCAATACACAATTCTGCAAATACATAGCATTAATTTTGTTTTACCCACCTGACCCCTTAACTCATTCACAGACAAAGTGAAAGGACACTGGGAAAAATGAAGTTCTGTATAAGAAAAGAAAAAGGAAAACGGCTAGGAAAAGAATCACACTGAGTAGTACTGATAAGCGAGATTGATGGCTTCAGATTTCTCTTTGTGTTTACTGACAAAAGGCAGCATGCAGTAGCAGGCTTAGCTTGTTCCAATGAAAAATGAGCAGGGTTAGTAGATTGCCTACCTCCAAAAAATGCTTTCTAGAACACCAGCTATCTGTTTCTGGTCCAACATTTTCCATGCCCAATATATACTGTATTTTACCTTTGGTAATACAGTTAGAATTTATACCCCTTTTGAGAAGTATAAATACATCTATTTGTGCATTTGTTTGGTTGTTTCAAGAGTAACAAGACCTTCTGAATAAGGGTAGGTTATTATAAAAGATATTATCCATGGTATTTATGCAACCAAGTATGCACATGAATTTTTGGAGAGGAAAAAATAACCCTACTCAAGTAGTTGGTCTCATTCCTATACTTCAAACATTCCTATACTTCAAACACCAAAGGCTGAAAAATGAGCAACCGTAAAACAAAAGAGGAAGGAAAAAAAGAGGATCATTCATAACCACAATCAAGCATGAATAATTACCAATTTTGAATGTAAAGATCATTCAAATAAATATAACTGATGGATCCTCCACATAGGGTGCAAGTCAAAGTAAACAGACAGTCCACTTTAGAAAGTGTCTAGCGAATTGATTTAACAAGTTTAATGCGAGCATCAGTGTGGGGCTATTACTGATCGTAAGCTTTACTGATGTTATTTGTTCGCTTGGAAAAATACCGCTCTTTGGAATGAGCACATTAAGGCTAAAATTGCAGAGAAAACCCTATTACAACTTTATTGCTGGCAAATTGGAACCAAACCTTGTCTGTATATCAATTACTTAGAGTTACCACAGAGATAAATCCTCTTTTTCCTTCTTTTTTTTTGTATGTGTAGGCTCAATCTTGAAGACAGCAATGAGAAACTCCTTATTATACCCTACCAACATCACTAGGTTTTCTTAGCAATTTCAAGAAATTGTCAATTAAGTTCTTTTTATTAGGTTCCAAAAGCTGTTAAGTCAAACACAAATCTATCATAAGGCTTGTAACAGCATGTTATTTAGGCACATTTCAATGCTTCACTCTCATTATCTACCTACCCCGATGTAACTGCAAAGTTCCTGTAAAGTAAAGGAGTTTCTTATTGATTATTTGGGTTCACAGAAATTTGGAGTAAGTGGCCACTTGTTTGTAGCAAATGCTCTGCCAAACTCCCATTCTTATTAAAAGTGGGGATCGAACAGTAACAATTTTATATGTGTATGTAGGGGTGTGTGTGTGTGTGTGTGTGTGTGTGTGTATGACAGATTTGCTTCCAAACGCGTTACAATAGAGGGACTGAGTTTGATGCAGTTACCCAGTGTAGTAAGCATTCAAAAAGCATAAACGCAAGGTTTTCAAATAGTGGTACAAATGTATCCATTATTTGCTGATTTCACTTGTGAACTGTGAGATCATTAAAACGCAGCATCAATTCATCCAGATGGCAATTGATGACAAAACTGAACTGTAAAGCGGCAGGGATTACAGGAACATGTAAGCGGTTCTCCTTCTTGCTCCCTGACCTAAGAAAGAGTAAATGCTTTGAAAAGACAATCCTGCAGGTCCCCAGGAAGAAGGAAAGAGTTAGTATCCTTGAAAGAGCAAAACAATAGAGGTGCATAGAGGTCAGCCCCAGAGGCAGCTGCTCCTTTGACCTTTTAGACAGACAAATGAGGCTTAACAGGAAAGGGAGACAAAATGGCACATAATTCTAATGAATAAATATGGCCCAGTGCTATTCAGGAGTCTTGCACTGAAGGCATTCCATGACATCCACATTTCAGATGAGACTGTTAGGAAAGAAAAAAAAAAAAAGGTGGGGGGGACGGGAATTAAAATGGAGTAAAGTGGATGAGCACCAACTGAAGAATACTATGTTCTTCAGTTTGACTCTTTGAAATAATTTTGACTATTGACTTCGCTTTGGAAAAAAGGCAAAAAGTAAGAATAAGTAGTGTTTACATAATCTTAAATCCCCTGCCCTACTTACTCAATAAAAATGAGTACTGTTCTAATCTTCGAAAATTTTAACAGTCTCTATAAAGATTTAAATTTTTATTTAACTTATTTCCTCAGACATGTCAGTCAGCAATTTGAGCCTGACTTGGAGGGACTGCAAGCTAGTAGGGTCAATTTACTTCCATGGTATATGTTTAAATACAGTCAATACTTTAAGCCCAATTCTAAACATAACCCAACTCCTGAAACAGGAGTCAAAGAATAACATGAAGAAAGTATGTATGCCACACTGAAAAAGCAACACAATTTGCAGAATTCCAAAAGTCATCTACTGTGCTCTCAGATTTTCACGGCTGTGGTTTTGTAAGAATTGTTTTATTGAAATCTGACTTCAAACTTAGGTTTTCACAGCATCTTGCTGTAGCCTGACTGCTTGGTCACAGACTAACGACATTTGAAGAGGAAGAAGGTCAAAGCTATCATTATGATGGTGACAACCAATCACAGTGGGAAAAATAAGTTTTATTTATTACTCTTAATACATGAAACCTTTACTGTGGAATATAATTGCACTGTCACTACACACCAGAGATTTTTAATCTCCAATCATTTCAACATATTTTACAGTTCATTACCTTTCCAGCTAGATATAGCAAGAAAGACTCTCCTGAGCCTATACAAAAGCATTAAAAAATCTACTATTTTTACACTCATACTTTAACCATGCAAAATACTGAATGGGGAATTAGAAGAAGTGAAAAACTTGTGTATTTCAAGTGAACACTGGAATAAAAATATACATTTCATAATCAATTTTAAATCTCTCTGCTAAAGATTAGAACATCCAAAATTATGAATCATGAAAAGAATTGGAGGCTGTTTAACATACCGGTAAGAATTTTAAATTGTTTTTATGACAGCCAACGTGGCAGTGTCCAGACTAAACAAGACAGACTACAGACCTTGCCAGCAACATACACAATCCTGCAGCTGATACAAAGTTATGTTGCCTTTAGGAAGAGATTATCTGTTATGATTCTCATAAGTTCTAATAAGTGTCACTGTGAAAAGGTAAGCAGTTGTATCACTGTGAATTTGCTTCAGTAAAAAGCTATCACTTGCAGTCATTT